>NC_000010.11:12888787-13040303 GCF_000001405.40 Homo sapiens
GTAATGGCCTTGGGGAACCCAAAGCAAAATCAAACTTACAAAGAAAACTGGTTTTAAACACAGGCTACAAACAACAGTGTGGGATTTAAGCAAAGCTACGCCTTGGAAGAGATCCATGCACTTGAGCAATTGTAAAAAATCAATGCCCTCCACCTATTTTCAGGGGCCATACTGGAAAGCAAGATAGATGTGAAGATGATAGTAGGATGGATGGGTGGGTGGGTAGACGGACGGACGGACGGACGGACGGACGGACAGATAGATAGATAGATAGATAGATAGATAGACAGACAGATAGATAGATTTTAAATTTACTCATGGAGAAACCAGTGCAGAGAAGCTAAGTCATCTCTAGGCATCACAGCGAAAGCACTTCCGAGGAAGAAGAATAAAAGTCAGCATTGTCCTTTAGCCTCTCACAGCAATGGCCTTCTCCTTATGAAACATTCTTTGTCACTGTAAATTTCCCCACTGAGCCCGGGTAGCCAGCAGAGAGGGTGCTATGACCTGCCTGTTTGGGTCCCCCTAAAATGCCCATGTTGAAGCTCTACCCTGCAATGTGATGGCATCAGAGGTAATTATGAAGGTAACTGAGTCATGAGATTGGAGCCCCACTTTGGGGTTAGTTCCCTTAGCAGAAGAGACAGGAGGCCAGGCACAGTGGCTCACGCCTGTATTCCCAGCACTTTGGGAGGCCGAGGTGGGCACATCACGAGGTCAAGAGATCGAGACCATCCTGGCCAACATGGTGAAACCCCATCTCTACTAAAAATACAAAAAAATTGGCTGGGCATGGTGGCAGGTGCCTGTAGTCCCAGCTACCTGAAAGGCTGAGGCAGGAGAATTGCTTGAACCCGGGAGGCAGAGGTTGCAGTGAGCCGAGATCGCAGCACTGCACGCCAACCTGGTGACAGAGTGAGACTGCTCAAAAAAAAAAAAAAAAAAAAAGAAGAGACAGAAGAGAAATTGGTTCTTCTCTCTCTCTGCTCTCTGTCATGTGAAAACACAACGAGAAGATGCCGTCTGCAAACCAGATCTTGGACTTCTAGGCTCCAGAACTAAGAGAAATCAGTGTTAGTTATTTAAGCCACCCAGTCTATGGTTATAGCAGCCTGAACTAACTAAAACAGAGGGGTATTTAAAGAAGGGGTTTGAGTTTGGATTAGAGTTGGCCTGCAGAGCCCTTAGAATTCCTTTTTATCCTGGATTTCTCTGTGCTTTAATTGAGTCTTATACACTCTTTGTTGGATGTTGGACTACATCAGGGAGACAGTGGATGACTTACCAGTGCTTCTGTGATTTCCAGATATGGTGGGGGGTTGCCAATTGCCCCTCATAAAAATACCAAGCCCCTAGTGGTGGTGGAATGGAAATAGTGGAGACAGTGATAAAACTGTGTCTGTGGGTATGTACTCGCCTCACCATAGGCCGTTCTTTTATACGGTTAAGTTGAATTATGAAAGCCCAGGTGTGGCAGGCCAACTAAACTGGCTCCCCTAGGTCCTCAGCTCCTGGTATTCATGTCCCTGTGAATTTCCTGCCCTTTGGGCATGCATGGTACCTGTAACTTGCTTCTAGTCAGCAGAATATTGCAAAAGTGATGGCACGTCACTTCCTTGATGAGGTTACCGAGGATTGTGACTTACATCTTGTTGCAGACTTTCTCTTTTGCCCTCTTAGTCTGCACACTTTGATGAAGCAAGCAGCCATGCTGGGGATGCACACTTGGCAAGGAACTGAAGGCAGCCAGCAGCCAGGGAGGAATTGAGGGCTTCAGTTCAACAACCTGCAAGAAACCAAATCCTGCCAACCATCATGTGAGCTTAGAAATGGATCCTTCCCAGTCGAGCCTTCAGATAAGACCCTAGCCCTGCCCGATATCTTGACTGCAGGCTTGTGACAGACCATGATGCAGAGAACCCAGATATGCCATGCCTAGATTCCTGAACCATAGAAACTGTGAGATAATAAATGTGTGTTGTTTTGAGCCCCTAAGTTTGTAGTAACTTGTTAAACAGCAATAGATAATTAACAGATCAGTCTAGAGTGTTTGCATCAGTTTACTGATATTCAGAGCTATTCCAAGGGCCTTAACTTGTATCTTCTTATCAAGGGGACTCCCTAAATAATTTCTCCCAGAATAAAGTGTTTATTCCAAAGGGAAAGAACCTCTTTTACCCTTAGAGCAGTGATTTTTCAATCCTGGCTGCATAGTATCTTTATGCAGAAGGCAGTTTTTTTTTGTAGTGCTTTGCTTCATTTTGTTTTTAATGCCTATGCTGGAGGCCCATTCAGGTAGGAAGGGGGAAGCTGGCAGGTACCCTTTCATTTACAGCTCCTAGTTGTTCCTGTTGGGCAGCCAGGGTTGAGAACCATTAGTTTAGAGTCGCATTATGTAACTGTCTGGCACTTTTATAGTGGCAGTTTTGTCCCTGTTTCCAGCATCCAAAGGCCGAGAAATATTGAACTCTACTCCCAGCATACCCAGCTACACAATAAAGACATGTTTTTAATAAAAGGACGTTTCTGTATCTGGTTTAAATATTCTCATTTTATTGGACAGGAAGAAATGAAATGCCAGGCCATTTAGTTCATGCCCAAGCATCTGGCAACTGGAGATTCATCTTGTAGGGGCAGAATAATGCAGCCAACTTGTGATCCTTTCAAGGGAAGCAGGATTAGTTGGAAAAAAACATAACAAAAATGTTTCACTTTAGTTCTCTTTTTCAGCCTCCTTTCTGAGCCCTTAGCAAAAGCGGAAGAAAGCCACAGACAAGCTAATTAGAGTTTTACCCCTTCACTATGTGCAGCCTGCAGGGCCAAAGCCAATATGATCTGGAGACACCCAGGGAGTGGCAGCAGGAGGGCAAAGGGGGGAGAAAATCAAGGGGCTTTCTAATCCCCTCCCTGGAGAAACATTTATTGGGAAACCAAGAAGTGAGTTTGCCATGTAGCCATCTTATTGTATAGTTGGTCATGCAAGGTAGGGAGCCAATGGTACTATTGGGGGATGTTTCACATGATCTTATAGTCCAGGAGAGTTGGAAGCTAGAAAGAGTTGGAAGCTAGAAAAATCTTCATACGTAGAACAAACAGTTTTGAATCATAGCAGTTCAGCTGCTAGAGGATTTAGCCATGCAACTATTCTGGTGTAGGATTTTTCTAGAGGCCAGCCACTGATGAGACCCTGGAACCCAAGGAATGATTATCATGGCCCCTGCTTTTGGCCAGGGCTCAGGCTAGATGCGAGACCAGGTTGCAGAGGAAGAGGAGGAAACCTGAGTGGTGAAGAGTCCTTCTTTGTCTCCTTCACTTCACACCTCCAGTTCTTATGATGCTGGCAGCCTTGGTACCTGATGCTGCCATCTTCATCCCTTTATTCTGTCCTTGATGAGCATTTAGTTAGTGTCACAATGTGCAGGCCATGAAGATCAGAAGTGAATTAGCCACAAGCCCTGTCCTCAAGGAGCTCAAACATTAGTGAGAGGAACAGACACAAGAGCTAACTGGAAAGAAATGTGGTCTAGAACAAGAGCATGCCCCAAATGCTATAGAATTACAGAGGGAGGAGTCATTGATTCCAATTAGGGGGTTAGGGAAAACTTCACCAATCAAGATTTCAGTGATACTCAGTTGTTGCACAATGGTATGAAAATGTTTAACACTACTGAACTGCACTCTTCAATATGGTTAACAGAGTAGTTTTATATTATGTGTTTTTTTAACGTGCAATTTAACAAATTGATACTTAGCAAAACTTTCCAGTTGGGCTTAGACTGGATAGCCCAGGTCTTCTCAATAGCTATCCACTTCCAAACTACAATATTTTAAAGAATTACAAAAGTTGTTATGAGGAATGAGAATCATGATAGCATTTGGGCAAGATTTTTAAACCTGAGTAGGATTTTCTCAGATAGAGGTAGACAAAGAGAGGTCAAGGCAAAAGGTAGAGGAAATGGTACAAGTAAAGACATTGGTGCTGGGTAAGTTGCATCCAGTGAGGGTTTATATTGATGAAGGGAAGGCAGGAGGAACTGAGACTATGATTTTCTTTTATTAAGATAAAATTTGCATACAAAAATTCACTATTTTAACCATTTTTAGGTGTATAATTAAGTGGTTTTTAGTGTATTTACAGTGTTGTAAAATACTACTGCTATCTAATTCTAGAACATTTTGTCACTCCAAAAGAAACCCTATAGCCACTCCCCATTCATGTCCAGCACCTGGGAATTCCTAATCTACTCTCTGTCCCTTTCTTTTTCTCCTCTCCTTCTGGGACTCTCAATATGTGTATGTTGGTCCACTTGATAGCATCCTATACATCTCTTAGGCTCTGTTCATTTTTCTTCATTCCTTTTTATATCTCTTTCTCAGCCTGGATAATCTATAAGTTCACTGATTATTCTGCTTGTTCAAATCTGCTGTTGAGCCCCTCTAGTGAATTTTTCAGTTATTTCTACTTTTCAACTCCAGATTTTCCATTGGATTCCTTTTTATAATTTCTGTCTTTTTGCTAATATTCTCCATTTGGTAAAATATTATTCTTCTGGTTTATATTTTATTTACTCTTTATCTACTTTAGCATTACTAACAAATTGGAGTTCCAGGGTTTCCTCTTGACCTTCCCTGACACAATAACCTTAACCCCATTGTTCAGAGAGCCAATGTGGGCATCTGCCCGATGCCAAGAATGTCTATTCTGACTACTTACTCAGGAGCTGGGGAAAATAGCCACAGAATGGGTTTACAGACTCATGAGGCTTAATGTGAGGTGGATTTGTGCCTGAGCACCATTTACTCTCTGACCCCCATGAGCATCCCCTCTAACTGTTGTCTCAGTAAGAGCTCAGCACCAGCATCAATAATCTCTCAAAGGTTTTAGGATTTCCTTTGCTGTGGTGCACATTTACACTGGTGAGCATCTGAAGCTCCCTTTTTAATAGTCTAGGAAGATCCATAGCATCCTGTAACGTTACCACAATGTCTTTCTTCAAGGGTTCCTGACCTTCCTTTGATCAAGGGGCTCTATGACCTGTCTTAGGTCTTGGAATTGGTTGAATGGCCATGAATTTCCCATACATGTAAGTTCAAGTCAGGCTTCTGTCTGCCAGATCTAGAGTTCTCTTTTTTCGAGAGTCTTTGTCACCCAGGCAGGAGTGCAGTGGCACAATCTCGGCTCACTGCAACCTCTTCCTCCCAGGTTCAAGTGATTCTCTTTCCTCAGCCTCCCAAGTAGCTGGGATTACAGGCACCCACCACCATGCCTGGCTAATATTTTGTACTTTTTTAGTAGAGATAGGGTTTCACCATGTTGGCCAGGCTGGTCTCGAACTCCTGACCTCAAATGATCTACCTGCTTCAGCCTCCCAAAGTGCTGGGATTACAGGCGTGAGCCACCACGCCTGGCCTAGATCTCCCTCCTTCCCTCCTTTCCCTCCCTCCCTCCTTTCCTTCCTTCCTTCCTTCCTTTTCTTGCCTTTCATGTGTTTCCTTTCTTTCTTCTTTCTTTCCTTCTCTTTCTTTCTCTTTCTCCCATCCTTTCCCCTCCCCTCCCCTCTTCTCCCCTCCCCTCCCTTCCCCTTCCCTTCCTTTCCTTTCCTTTCTCTTCCTTCCTTTCCTCTTTATTTCCCTCTCTCACTTGCTCGCTCTCTTTTGCTCTCTCTCTCTTCTTTCTTCTGTCTTGCTTTCTGGTATACAAATCAGTCCAGCCTTTCCTAGGAGGTCCATCTACTTTTCAGTCCTAGGAACTCTATGATCCACAATTTGGATGACTTCCTTGGCCCTGCTTCCTATTGCAATGACCACATCCACTTTGTGTCTGGAAGTTGAGCATGGCTACACGGTGTTTGTACCCTAGTACCCCATAATCCACACTGAGCTCAGGGACCCAGGTTAATGGCAGCATCTCCCACATTCATCTCTAAGCTTCCAAGTATGGCTGCCTCTGTGCTTTTCAAGGATGCCAACACGTGATACTTTTTAAAGTGAATGTGTTCTGGGTCTTCTCAGGTGCCAAGGTAGGAACTAGCTGACTGAGTTGCAATTAGAACCTTCCTGTCGTCTCCCTAATCCTTTGGATCATTTTGTCTAAATTATACCTAGCAACTTCTGGCATCTCATCTTCATTCAGCATAGGTTACCATTGAGTCTATAGTTCAAGTAACTGAGCAAGAACCACCTCCAGCTGCCTGAGTTAGCTAGCACATTGAATCCTGACACTATCAAACACACCCATATAAATAAATTCTGCACAATCTAAACTTAGGTTTCCCCTTTGCTAATCTAGGAAAGACACTAAATATCCATTCCCACCGTATAACCCTTAGGCTTTAACCACTATAAATTAGCAAAATCTTGAAATTACTTTGGTGTGTAAGCAGTTTTCTGAGTGTGACTTGGTGAATTTCCCTATGCTCAATTAATCTAATTATAGATCTAGAGGTAAAGATGGAAAGGTAGCATGGGCAGGGTCAGTTTCACGGGCCTCTGACCATGCAGTCACACAGAGCCTTGTGCTTTAGAGGGTCCCACACTTGGTTTAATGCTTTGCTGTTGTTGCTGCCTTGAAATTCTCAATTTTTTTAATAACGGGCTCTGAATTGTCATTTTGCACTGGGGTCCTGCAAATCATGCAGCTGGTTCTGAGAGTGGGGCGTGAAGACAACTGGGCTCTTTATACACAGTAACTATCTCAGGAAAGGCCACGTGTGGTCCTTAAGCAAGGTAAGGACAGCTTCATCAGACAGGGAGGGAGCTGCTGTTTCTGCTAGCAGGAAAGCCCAATAGGGTTTATGAGTTGAGGGGAATTGGACTGAATGTATCTATTAAGATTTTTGAGGTCCCCCTCATTCCCAGTGAGTTACTGAGATTTTTCTATGAGTTCTGGTAAGGCTATGACTTCAACCTAAGTTGCCCTACGTCTGATTTTTGGCTATGTTGGCTTTGTGGTTAAATAAATGGACTTTCTGGTTTTTTTGGCCATGGCTTAGGCCAAGAATTATTTTTCTTTTGTTTTTGTTTTGAGATGGAGTCTCACTCTGTTGCCCAGGCTGGAGTGCCGTGGTACAATCTCAGCTCACTGCAACCTCTGCCTCCCAGATTTAAGTGATTCTTCTGCCTCGGCCTCCTGAGTAGCTGGGACTACCCACCATCATGCCCTGCTAATTTTTGTATTTTTAATAGAGATAGGGTTTCACCATGTTGGCCAGGCTGCTCTCAAACTCCTGTAGGTCAAGAATTTAAACCCCTGCTAGCTATGGCCCACATGCTGCTATCTTGATTTCTGGAAACTGCAGTTTGAAGATTCTAGACTCTACCTGGCTCTTGTTATGTGAGTTGAGTTTGGAAGTCTCCTGGGCTCCTTGTACCACAGAGGGAAAGTAAACAATGGTCTGGATCTTGGAGATAGTGCCCGGACAGGCTGGCTACAGTGCATCAAGGTCGGAGTAATTATTAGAGTGTGAAGCATAATATATTCCTACAATTAACAGATGACAAGGGTAGCATAAGATGACAGTGCAGCAGGTAACAGGGACCTGGGGATCCTCTGTGTTTTTCTGAAGACATTGATTAATGTTGCTGCTTGTCCCTTGTGAGGAGCCAGGCAGGAGAACACTGCTTTTCTGCAGGTGTGTTGAGAAACGGAAACCCCAGGGCGAGATGGGGTGAGGCCACATCCAGACAGGGCCAGCAGAGCAGGCTTGAATTCAGGCTCCTCAGTGCCCCAGGTGTTACTCACAGGCATTCCCCCCAGAGGATCTAAATCACTTTTCCAGGCCAAAGCTGGAAATCCTGAAATCTCCCTGACCCAAAAGAAACACTCATCATCTCACTGTTGTGGTTGAAATCGCCGCTCGTATTTATTGGAAAAGCAGAACAGTATGCACCTGTAGGGGTGTAGCTTCCATGGTTCTCCAAGCACGGGCTGTACATTACCCTTAGGCTGACCATTCCCTTGCGGGGGCGCAAAACTGCTTTGAGGAAATGTCCCCAGGAGGAATAAACTAGAAGACGCACCTGCTATTTCACCATACTATGGAGAATACAGCTAATGAAGTGGTGGCAGAAGCTTGGCCGTGTGAGTGCCCCAGGGTAAAAGTCTCTCTTCTGTCCAGTCCAGAGCAGAGACTTCTCCCCCGTGGACAGCAGCCTGCCACCAAGACTCAAGCAACGTAAGAGTCATCTCCCCAGACTGGCTGTCAGAGCAAGAAGCACCCAGCCTTCCTAAAGGCAGAAGAGTGGAAATCTGACAGTGCCTGCCATTTCCGGTACAGAGGACAGCATCACCAGGCCCTGCAGTGTCTGGGGGGGGTCTCTGGGGGGCAGATCCTGATGAGAGGCCAGGAGCCTTTACTGGTGGAAGAGCAGGGAAGGGCCCTTGTTGGGTTGAAAGGCCATGATCAGAAGATAACCCAGAAAAGGCCACCCAGTTGACTTCTTAATCACACAGCTGGGACCCACTCAAATGTGCCTGAGCAATAAGTCTAGTGAATACTCTCATTTTTACTTATAGTAGTGTCTTAAAAGTTTTATTTCCAGAAAGGTGAAGTGCTTTGGTGGTGTAAGGAACTGACGTAAGGACAAGTGCACTGACGTACACGTATTCCTATCGGAACAAACAAGGCTTGTTGTGGGGGAAAAGTGTTTGCATAAAGAAGAAGAGATTGGAATGGCTGGAATGAGCCCTTTGGGAGCCTGGCTGGGAGTGAGGTCAGGTCACGTGATCCCAGTAGGTAAGGAGGTGTCTTTGCAGAAGTTCACAGCGTCTTGGAGCACCTCACTTTGAGTTCAGAGACATTAGAAACAATTACTCAGCAAACAAGAAGTTAGACTATAGCAGTGGCTGAGAGATTGCTCAGTTTCTCTCAATTTAGGAAGCAGTCTGATGACCCATGGCAGGCCGATCAAGGCAGTTGCCCCCTGTGTTAACGCGACCCATAGGTATCATCTTCAACTCTTTGTAGCTGGTGTTGGAAATCAGGTATAATTTATCTTGTTTAATTACCTGCTGCCCTGCTCCTAATTCCCTCCCCTGTGATGAGCTTATGAAGTCTTCACCTGCCTCAGCTGGAAGGAAAATGCTGGCTGGATAGGGAGGCCCTGCACGTGCTGATTTTCAGGCATCTTGGATGCAAGGCCACCATCCCCTTCCAAAGATGTGGCCAGTGAGGTGCCAGCAGGTTCCAGCACCAGCGTCAGCTCACTCATCAGGACTAATGGTTGTCCTGGACTGGGGAGCTGGGAACCACCCTGATTTTTTTCTGAAATAAAGGCTAAGCACGTTGATGTCTTTTACACTAGAGATTCTAAAATGTTCTCTCCCCAGTCAGGGCTCTTTCTGGGCTGCTCTGCAGGCGAGCATTCAGCACTCAGGGATCCCACTGCCTCTGGACTGCCAGGCACTGCGTCTGGGGTCAGGCCAGGAAGGGGCAGCGCGTGGGGTCTGACATTGAGGCCAGCACCCAAGGGGAAAGCAAGCCTTGCATTTTATCCATTTAGACTCTACCAAATGCGTGATTAAAAACAAAAACTCTTACAACCCTTGAAATAGCTGCATGTACGAAACCTCACTCATTCTCAATTACCGTCAGGATTGGCCCTGCACACCTGGCAGCCCCCAGGCCCGTTACCCCCGCAGGTAGGGGGGGCGCACGGGCCCCCGGGCATTGATGTGCGGCAGCGCGCCCGCCGCCAGCTTCTCACTGAGTTTCTGGTTCGCCAGCTCCAGGTGGCGGCCCTTCTTACGCGCCTGCCGCAAGGACCTCTTGACCTTCTTCACTCGCTCCCGGAGCTGCCGGTTGCGCTTCTCCAGGGTGGCCACTTTCTGCTGCAGTTTCTTGACGTGGTCCTCCTCCTCAAACAAGGCCTTCTGCACCGAGGAGCACATGAGCTGGAGGCAGAGACAGCGTGCAAGGAGAGGAGGTGAGTCCCAGAAACTGCGCTGCGGCCAGGGGAGTCCCAGAAGCTTCCCCGAGTGCTGACAGCAACACAGACCCCGATTCCCCACCCCAGCATGGGCATAAACCCCAGGATGTCCTTGACGGTGACATTCCCCGCCCTCCACCCTGTGAATCCTGCCCTGGCCTCAAATACAGAGCCCCCGTTTTGCTTTCCATACTTGGCTTCCTTGGAAGATGTCGTTTTCAAATGATATTCTGAATATTTGTCATGCGTAGCAAAAAGGAAAGAGCCCCGCTTTGGTAGAAGACCAAAACCAGAAATGCACACAGAAGGTGGACAGTTCCGGGAATGGGGGGAGTCAGGTGGCCTAATTAACAAAGGCTGAGCCACTTACATTCGCGAAGGCTCTGATCAATGCTGGCCTGTCCAACTGAAGGGAGGGGTTCCCTTCAGCAAAAACAGACTCTCTTTGCTCCCTTTAGCTGGGCTGGCCAGCACACAGAAGGTGGATAGTTCACAGGAAAGAAAACGCCAGTATCTCTTAAACGCATGAAAAGATGCTTAACCCCACTCATAATAACATAAAAAAAACAAATGAAAGCCATGGTGAATTACTATTTTTCACATATTAGATTGGCAAAATTTCAGAGTCAGGATTTGGGAAAACAGGTGCTATCATACTGTCAGTAGAGTGTTGACATCTATAAAGACCAATCTGGCTCTGTCAAAATAACTGCATATACCCTTTGATCTAGTAATTCTGGGACTATCTCAGATAAATACTCTCATATGTGCAAGCTGCCACATGTGCAAACATTATGGCATTATTATATTAAAAGATTGGGAACAAAAAATACCCATCAAGAGAGGTCTGGTTCCATAAATTATAGTAAATCTACACAATGCAAAGGTTTGCCGTTTTTAAAGGAACAAGACAGCTCCGTGTGAATGGTGGTGTAGCAATGTCTAAGTGGTGTTCATATTGAAAAGCTGTGCAGAACAGTGTGTATAGTGTGATACCAAGAGTGCGAAATACGGTACCCATCTGTGTCCGTTTAAATATGCATACACTATCTCTGGGAGCATATGCAAGAAACGGGTAAGGGTGGCCATATCCGGGGAGCAGAGAAGACAGGAAGAAGAAGATTCATTTTCACTTTTGTACTTTTTGAATTTTGTATTTCATAGGTTTGGCTGTGTCCCCACCCAAATCTCATCTTGAATTCTAGCTCTTATAATCTCCATGTGTCATGGGAGGGACCCAGTGGGAAGTAATGAAATCATGAAGGTGGGTTTTTCCTGTGCTGTTCTTCTAATAGTGAATAAGTCTCAAGAGATCGGATGGTTTTAGAAAGGGCAGTTCCCCTGAACACTCTATTGCCTGCCATCATGTCAGACATGACTTTGAGCCTATTCACCTCCACCATGATTGTGAGACCTCCCCAGGCATGTGGAATTGTGAGTCCATTAAACCTTTCCTTTATAAGTTACCCAGTCTCAGGTATGTCTTTATTAGCAGTGTGAGAACGGATTAATACAGTAATAAGGCTGGCATTTCCTTTATATGTGTGTGTGAGCATATATATAAAAAGAGGTATTCTCCAATCTTTCTCCTTTCTCCCATTTTACCTCATCAGAAGCTACATTCCCAAAGAAAGACTTGAGCCTCAACTTTCCTCTGCTTAGAAATCTCCATCATTGAGCCGGGCTGGGTGTGGTGGCTCACGCCTGTAATCCCAGCACTTTAGGAGGCTGAGGTGGGCGGATCACAAGGTCAGGAGATCGAGACCATCCTGGCTAACAGGGTGAAACCCCATTTCTACTAAAAATACAAAAAAAAAAAAAAAAAAAAAAGCCGGGCGTCGTGGCGGGTGCCTGTAGTCCCAGCTACTCGGGAGGCTGAGGCAGGAGAATGGCGTGAACCTGGGAGGCGGAGCTTGCAGTGAGCCGAGATCGCGCCACTGCACTCCAGCCTGGGTGACAAAGAGACACTCCATCTCAAAAAAAAAAAAAAAAAAACAAACTCCATCGAGCCCCACTATCTACACTGCAATATGATGGTGATGGGTGAAGAGCTCAGACCCTGAGGCCAGGCTGCTTTGGTTTCCAGTCCTGCCTCTTCCACTGACGAGTGACCTGAGACCTTGGGCAAGCTTCCTAGGCTCAGAGTAGTGGACTCTGGTCTGTATTAGCCAGAACCCACTTCAGTACTAAAGGATTGATTTCCCCAGCTTCTTGGAGTGCTGCAGACCGATAGCCGATAGCCCTAAGCTGAGTCTCTCTCCGGAAACTGACCCTGACCTAAGAGAACTGCCCAAGGTCACGCCCCCTTCTTTGGAGCACCTGTATCCAAGGACTGGCTGACACCAGGGTATGAAGACCAAGGCCCCTCATCCCAACTTGGAAGATCTCTGAAGGGCGGTCCCCATTGCTGGGTGTCCTGGGGTAGGCTACAGCCTTTGTTGAGACTGGATCACAGGCTGATGTCTGCCTCCGCCTGTTCTTGTTCTTTTCTACCCAAGGTATTAATCCCAGGAGCATTCTTGAAAACACCACCTATACCTCTTACATTATTTTTTCTTTTCTTTTCTTTTTTTGAGATGGAGTCTTGCTGTGTCGCCAGGCTGGAGTGCAGTGGCGTGATCTTGGCTCACTGCAATCCTCCACCTCACGGGTTCAAGCGATTCTCCTGCCTCAGCCTCCTGAGTAGTAGCTGGGACTACAGGCACGAGCCACCAAGCCCGGCTCATTTTTTGGTATTTTTTGTAGAGATGGGGTTTCACCATATTGGCCAGGATGGTCTCGATTTCCTGACCTCGTGATCTGCCCGCCTCGGCCTCCCAAAGTGCTGGGAGTACAGGCGTAAGTCACTGCACCTGGCCCACCTGCACCTCTTATTCCAAAGTCTACGTCTCAGGGAACCTGGCCACTCTCAGTGGGATGATCATGGTTGTTGGGAGGATTTCATGAGTTTTACTTGAAAAATGTTTAGAACCATGCCCTCGTGCACAGTAAACGTTCACTAACTGTTAGCCGTGATTATAGGATAGAGTCAAATCTCCTAAAGCCTTTAACTTTTGTGATTGGACCCGGCCAACATCTCCAGTCTTAGTGTTCTTCCTTCTGTTCCCACATTTTATACCCAAGGCACACTGGGTCCCACCCAGCTCTTCCTCCAACACATCAGCGCTTTCTCATCCCAGAGGCTCTTCCTCCCGCCTGGAGCACTGTTCTCCCCATCTCCGCCTGGCCATCTTGGAAGCCCTCTGTGGTCCCCTTTCACGATGCTTTCCACCGGGTCTCCCTGTGTATGTAATGTGTCCCCCTCCCCAGTCTCCATGGCACGCCGTAGCTATTCACACCACACGCCAAGTACCTGGTGGCACTAGGAGAATGTGACTCAAGGGCCTTGACATTCACAAGTCACAAGCTCCTGAAGGCCTGGTTCACAATGGTTTTTGCATCCTTGCTGCCCTGGCCTTTTTAGGCCTACAGTTAAGAAAAAGGAGCCAAGTGGAATGTTCCAATAATACCTGTCATTTAATGAGAAACTCTGGGCTCCCGGGGAAGCTGCTGTTACAGGGGAGACCATATGTGCAACACTGCCCTCTTCTGGCCAAAATGAGACCCCCTCAAAAAGATGAGAAGGTGGGCATGAGAAATTCCCGGGAGAACTGACAGTATTTCTATTGTCTTGTGGATAGATATTAGCTATGGAACTTAGGCTTTAATATGGCCAAGTACCAGGCTGAGCACTGTATAATGACACTCCCTCATTAAGTCATGAGTTTTCTACAAGTTATGGTAGATTCTTCAACCAAGAACAAGACAAAAAAGTCCAAAGTCCATGACAACAAGAGGATTGGGGTTTTGGAAGACTGCTTGCTCGAATTTTCAAAGAACAGAACCCAATAGTGGCTGGAACATAACATCAAAGAAGAGTTGAAGGCAGGCTCGATGGCGGTGTTCAGAAGCTGCGTTTAAAAATCGTGAAAAATAGAGGAGGATGCTGGGACTTGAGTGATCACGTGTTAAGAGTTCTTTCTAAGACACAACACTCTTCACAGTTAGCCCTCGACCATGGACACAGCTGTTCTCCAGGCTAGCAAGAGGATGAATTTCACCTCCAGCAAGACTTAGAGCCCAGACAAAAGGAAGACCTTGACCCAGGCTGTAAAAACCAAGATGGAACAGAGGGACGCCTTGAAGTGCATCTGTGTGTGTATCCGGAGTGGGAGGATCATTGAGATGGGAATGATAAATTCCCAAGCAAAGGTGAATGTGAAAAGCGTGGATGGGATGAGAGTTCCTTGGTGAACATGTCATTCTTTGGTCCTCGTGGCCTCTAATATGGGTAGGGTTTCAGTAGGAGCAAAAGACATCAAAGGACTCTAGTAACGTATCCAAGACAACCAACATAGCACAGCCATGACCCAGGACTGCTTAGCAGGCAGGTCTGTATCTCTGCAGCAAAGTGGGCCATGCCTCTGAGTAGGGGGAGCCTGTGTCATGTGAATTGAGGCTAACGCCATAAAATAACCAAGCCACTGCTGATGGAGCCGATGGAGCCCTCTGGCATCCCAGCTATCACCTCAAAAGAAAATCCTGTGTTTAAGAAAGCAAGAATTTCTAGAGGAGAGCTGTGCTTTCCAAAATGTGTGTTTCTTTAAGAAATGCTTTCTTTGGAATGCTTTCCAAATGAAATCCATCTCCTTTTAAAACTGCTTTAAAAAGAAAAAAAGGTCCAGATACGCTATTTGCTCAATTTGCTTTGTGGTATTTTTTGGTAAACTGAGAAGAGCAGGGAAAGGCCAGGCCAAGCTGAAACAGGTACTGCCATATTTTCTTTGAAGAAGAACCAAAGAGAATGTCCTACAGGGCAGCCCCAAAGCAACAGACTCCTCATAGGCAGGCCCCGCTCAGGCCTGCAGCACTCAGCGCCTCCCAGGTGCTTGGGTACCTCTGGCATTTGCCTGCCCAGAGCTTTTCTCTGGAAGTTTCCATGTGGCCAATAGGATGCCTGCCTAAGGGCAGATGGGAAGATTGCCCTGGGAGCCTGCTCTTTTATTTTCGAAAAGACAAAAGTTAGGCTGGGATATCCATACTTCCTTATCTGTCTAAAATAACACTTTTTAAAACCATCAAAGCACACTGATTGTAGAAAAAACATTTTTTAAAAATATGGGACCAACAAAAGGAAAATCAAAATCATCAATGATTCTATGGTACAGAGATAATCACTGTGGACATTGTAACATTTCTTCCTAGTATTGTTCCTACGGGTATAAATAGATAACTATTTCAAAGAAAACTGGAGTCCTGCTGTTACTCAGTTTTCTGTTCTAATTTTTTCCCCTTTTCATTTTATCATGATTCTTTTCCAGTCATCGGTCTGTACACTTCCCGTGAGTATTTCATGGGAGCTGGAGGAGGGAGCATCTGGTGGTTCCACTTGGCCACGAGGACTAACTCACTAGGCAAGACTGGCTCACTAGGCCGGGCATGGTGGCTCTCGCCTGTAATCCCAGCACTTTGCGAGGCTGAGGTGGGAGGACTGCGTGAGCCTAGGAGTTTGAGACCAGCCTGGGAAACACAGGGAGACCCCATCTCTAAAAAATAAAAATAAAAAATAGCCCGGCATAGTGGTGCACATCTGTGGTCCCAGCTACTTGGGAGGCTGAAGCTAGAGGATCACTTGAGCCTGGGAGGTGGAGGCTGCTGTGAGCCATGATTGCACCACTACACTCCAGCCTAAGTTACAGAGCAAAAGCCAGTCTTAAAAAAAAAAAAAAAAAAAAAAAGACTGGCTCAGGCTCACTAGTTATTAATCCTCCTCTATCCTTAGGACCACAGGCCAATGGGGAGGGATGGCAAGATGGGGTGCTCATGCATCCATGAGATTGAGTGGCCTTAATGTGGCCTTTTTGGGTCACCTGTCTCCAGTGACGGGACAAATCCGTGGAGAGCTCTTTACCCGGAGCCTCCACCTGAAGTCTTCCTATAAGTTTCCTGGTTTCTCCGGGAAGCTCAGGTGTGAGAAAGTTTCACCATCAACATCTTGAGCAGTTAAGGAAGTATATCCATGATACCATCTAGAATCACCTCTCATTTCCAAAGCGTTTTGGCTTCCATATGTTCATTCATTCTGGCAAGAAGCATTTATTGTGTGCCTGGCACTGTATGGTGCAGAAAGTCCCCCCCAGTTATTCTGGAATATAGCAAGTTTGTATCAAGCTAAACAAAAAGACAGTATGTTTTTTTAAAAAAATATCTCATGGCACCAGACATGCCAAAGAGTCACCGAGAGGATTCTTGCCTTTCACAGCTGCTTTTAATTTAAATAACCACGTATAAAGACAAGACAAAGTGTACTTTCTGAAACGTAAAAATATAAAGGAAGAACAGTCCAAAAGCAACAACACAGACAAATAGCTTGCTTTTTTAACACTTTGTTCCTGTTCTCGGGATTCAAAAATGAGAAGGAAGAAAAAAGAAAACCCAGAGCAGTGATCAGGAAACGATGGCCTATGGGCCACATCTGGCCCCCTGCCTGTTTTTGTGAATAAAGTTTTATTAGACCACAGCTATACTCATCAGTTTATGTTTTGTTTGTGGCAGCTGTTGTGCTGCAATGGCAGAGGTGAGTAGCTGCAACGGCTGCTTCCACAAAACCTAAAATCTGGCCCTTTACAAGGAAAAGATGCTGAATCTTAACCTCAAGAGGGGCTCAAGGCAAACGCAGGTGGGAATAGGATGGGTTTGGAGGGCAGCTGGTCTACAGGCAAAGAATGGATGAAGGGCAAAGGGTTTGAAAAAAACACCTGGTGCCAGAGACGCCCAAGAACCTCACTGTCCACATCTCACCCCTTTCCCACCACTTTCAGACATTGTTTTGTGATGATGGCTTTGGCTGCCAGGTCATGGTTCAAGGTCTCCACGATCCTTGTCAAAGGTCCTATTGACTCCATCTCAATGTACTGCAGCCAATTTCAAACCTCCAGGTGGAAATTAACAAACCAGCTCTTCCCAGCACGACTGACTGTTTCTAAAATGCATCCCTTGACATTGGACAGATGAGCCTAGAGCAAGCCCCTGTGCCCTGCTTGGGAACATCAACTGTCAGTGTGGATAAGGGTCTGCAGGGGATTGCTCTAGTCCCGCAGTTGGCCGGTTAATTCTGAAAAGTTTACATGGCGCTGTGTTTTCTGGCCCCGTAGAGGGCAGAGGCCAAGATTCCTTCATTATCCACATGATTCAGGGACTCTGGGGAGCTTGATGGGAAGCCCATGGGCCTTTACCCACGTCCTCCGTAGTGCCTTTTGGCGTTTTCCATAAACAGGTTGGAAATGCAGCTTTGTTCTCCCATTCTTTAAAAGCCTTTAGAGATAGAGATCTATGAGGAGGTGGGCAGAGAGCCACGTCCACGCAGAACGGTTTCCTGAATGACTCGACAGGACCACACTGGAGGATGCCCAGAGCTGCTGAAAAAACTCCCAAAGCTGGGAAGTGACAGCAGGGAAGTTCTTCTGAGGACTGTCTGGAGGGACAACCTGAGATGACTGCATGTGGCTTGGCAGCTCGTTCTCTGCTCCACCCAAAGTCAAAAGAGCTGCTTCCCTGGTGCCAGGAGCCCAAACAAAGGGAACGCTCATGCCCAGGCTGTGGCGGGAGGGGAGGCAAATGAAGAGGAAGGCGGAGATGGAGTCAGGGAAGAGGCTGGGGCAGGAGTTTCCTTTCCATGAGGCAGCACCCGGCCTAGCTGGGCAGGGCCACAGCAGCCTCTCCTGCGTCCGCTTCCTGATGCTGCCGGGGGAGGAGGTAGCCGGGCAGTGTGGGTAGGAAGGGGTTTTGGACTCAGGTAACTCTGGGACTGAATTCTGGCTTAAACGATTCCACACTCCACGTACCCAGATACCTGTTAGAGTCCACAGGTCAGGGAGCCCACTCAGCCCCACCATCGGACAGTGGGGTCTTGCTTAAGTCAATGAACCTGTCTTGGCTCAGTCTCCTCATGTATACAATGGGCCTAATAAAGCCTCTTCCCTAGAACTGCTCTGAAGATGAAATCAGATGATAAGGGTAAAGCATCTGATGTAGCACCTGGTGTAGGGTGAAGGACACACAAAGCTTTTGTGATTGTCGTTCGCCCGAGCTTGACCTTTGCTGCTGGAACTCCTCCTCCCTCAGCATCCTAGGTCCTCTTGAGTGTCTGTGATTTTTTGCATCTAATTCCTTCCACTAAATCTCTGCTCACACCTTAACCAAACGATGACATTCTACTTCTTCTCCAAGTCTTGGTTCAAGAGTCACCTCCTCTGTGATGCCTTCCTGGTTCCTCCTGAAGTCTTCCTATAAGGAAGAGCCCTGTCATCTTTTCCTGGTTCCATTGTCAAGTTTATCGCATGGGGCTCTAACTGTTGGCTAGCCTGACTCTCTCCCAGACTGAGTCCCTTGAACACAAGGGCTCCATCTTTTCATTCTTGCATCCAGCACTTAGCATGCAGTAAGCACTTAATAAATGGATGAAGGGATGCAGGTTGAAATAGAAGCAAGTCATTTTCAATGACTCGAAAATGAAAAACCGGTGAAGAAGCTGGAGCTACCTTTTAATGCTGGAGCTGGATTCACCATCTTCCCTGTGAAGCCCCATTTCCCAGGAATAAAGTTAGTTTTGCCGGGTGCAGTGGCTCACGCCTGTAATCCCAGCACTTTGGGAGGCTGAGGTGGGAGGATCACTTGAGGTCAGGAGTTTGAGACCAGCCTGGCCAACATGGCAAAACCCCATCTCTACTAAAAATAGAAAAATTAGCCAGGTGTGGTGGTGCACACCTATACTCCCAGCTACGCGGGAGGCTGAGGCAGGAGAATCGCTTGACCCGAGAGGAGGAGTTGGCAGTGAGCTGAGATCGCACCACTGCACTCCAGCCTGGGTGACAGAGCAAGACTCTGTCTCAAAGAAAAAGAAAAAAGAAGATTAGTTTTGACGATTTGTTCTGGTAAGATCTGGGAGCTGGATTTAAGGAGCCCTGAACTTGGTGCCTTTTCCTTACTTTCCTTTTCTCCCTGCCCCCACCTGCCCGCCCCCTGTTGACTAGCTTATTTTGTACATCCCCATACCAAATCCCTTAAGAATTGCAGGATGTGACGCAGATGAGGAAAAATCCATTCTAGAGGGGAGATGCTAGATGATGGAAAACCTGGGTAAGTGCAGGAGAAGGGATCACATTTCAGAAGCTGGGGCCAGGGCCAGCCCTGCTGAGAGTTGGAGCGCAGTAGCAGCTGGATGTGGGAAGCAGGGGGACAAGATCTTAAATGGCCAGGGGTTAAGTCCTGCTGATGGCCCATGATTAAAATCAGGAAACATTGAGCTGTCTTGGGTGAATTGCCTGCCATCAGAGGAAAGGGGAGTTTATTAGCTAAGTTCTACTACAGAGATCATAAAGCCACGTCTTCAGATAAATCTACTACAAAGGTTTCCCAAAATGGAGTCTCCAGGACACTCGTCTCATTAGATGTTTACGTGGGGACCAAAAGGGTGGTTCTGGTTAAAAAAGTTTCAGAAATGCTGCATATTATGGCTTCCTCTGTGATGTAACACTTAGTATCAGCTGTGCACATTGGTCCTGCATTAAACCTCTCTAACTTTGTTTTACCCCAGATCTCATCGGTCTCTGGTGGAGATCTCCAACATGCAGCAAGAATAGACTACAAGAGTGAGTGTCAAGGCTGCTCAGTTACGAGCGGTCTCCTGTGTTTCTCCCAGGGAGTTTTGCAAACATTTTATCTAGTCTGTGATACAAAGAAGCCTGGGAAACACTAGGTCATGGAATACTGATTTCAACTCTAAATCCTTTTTCTAGAACTACCAAGGGGTAGAAGGGTGCTGAAATCACAGATTCTTGGCTAAGAACTGTGATTTTTCTTTTTTTTTTTTTTTGAGACAGAGTTTCCCTCTGTTGCCTATGCTGGAGTGCAGAGGTGTGATCTCGGCTCCCAGGTTCAAGCAATTCTCCTGCCTCAGCCTCCCAAGTAGCTGGAACTACAAGTGCATGCCACCATGCCCGGCTACTTTTTGTATTTTTAGCAGAGACAGGGTTTCACTGTGTTGGCCAGGCTGGTTTCAAACTCCTGACCTCGTGGTCCATCCGCCTTGGCCTCCCAAAGTGCTTGGGTTTACAGGTGTGGACCACGGCGCCTGGCCAGAACTGTGATTTCTTAATGCTGACCACTGTCCATGGTGAGTGCAGAGAAGGTGTCCAGGTGTAGTGGGAAGGAAGATGTTCTACTTTTATTTTCAGGATCCCAGAAAATCCACATCACAGTGGATGGGGCTCTGGTCTAGATGCAAGGCTCCATCTTCCTGGTATCCTTGGACACTCATGGTCCTGTGAGTTACAGCATCTGAAAGACATCTTCCAACCTTGGATGCCTCTGCTTGTTTAGTCAAAGCCTCCTTGGGCACCTCAGTCCTTAGCCAGTCACGGCCAGTTAATTCTCTCCCTTGAAAACAGCAGGAGGGCTATAAGGGCACTACAGCCTGGCTGATGCAGGCATTCCCTTGGGAAGGAAGAGTGACATTCATGGCCACTGACCATCGGCCCTCAGATGTGTGTATGCTCAGCCTCCGTGGCATCCCAGGCTGCAGGGGAGGAAGGGCAAAAGGACCTGATGATGTTATCTTCTCCCCACCGTGCCCAGCAGTTGACAGGTGGCTGCCAGTGGGGCACCCGGGGGCCATGCTTACTCCTGCCCTGCCCATGGAGTGTGGGTGTGCCAACCCGGGCTGAGTGAGGTGCACTGTGTCCCCCATCAGCTCTGTAAGCTCCATGTCTTGGGTCATTGCTGTTGCCCAAGGGAAGAACAGGTCATTGGCCCAGTCAAAGCTTACCCCTTGCTCTGTGGACCCCTGTGCTTAGTGCCGGAAGGGCTCTGAAGTCAGGCTCTCCCTTCCGGTGTCAGGGCAAAGCAATGAGGCTGTGGAGAGTGGAAGGCTGAACCGTGGACTAACGGTGCAGGGTACCAGGTCTCCCAAGGAGGGGGATCCTAGACAGGCACTGACCCAAAGCCAAAGCTGTCCTGCTCCCTCCCCACTGGTGCTATCCACCTGACCCATCTCTAATCTGATGCTGGTTTCCATGGGGTACTTTTCAGGGTCTAGGGTATTGGGTAATTAGGGGCCAGTCTCCAGCTCTTCAACTGAAAAAGGCAGTGAAAGGCCAGGCTCCACCTTCCTCCCAAGGGCTGGGGTGTGTGCCTGTATCCTCAGTACTGGCTGAAAACCCCAAGGGCTCCTGGCCATCCGCCCTCCCGGGGAATGCGATGGGAATTTATGAGCTGTGATCATGTTCATGTTTACTTCTCAGAGACTGATGACTTGTCCACACAGCCACATCCAGGTCCTGCTTCAGCTAAGAGTCTGTTTATTTGGGAGAATTTATCAAACCCAGACACAGGCTTTTTTCTGCTACTGAACCAAGACAGGTGGCCCTGGAGTTGAGATAGCCCTAGAGCTGACTCTCCTTGGATTGGAAAGAGCTGTGGGTGCAATTTAGCAAGACCTTGCTTCAAATGTGGTTGTGCCGCTTGCTGGCTACGTAGCTGTTTTCCTTTTTAAGGCAGAGATACTGATAATGAGAAAAAGCATGGTGTATTTGGTGTGCCTTAAAGCCATTCAATGTCGAATGCAGTTGCTGCTACATATTGCCAGACTCAGTCCATAACCATATGTCCCCAAATAAATTCTCAGTTAATATTTTATTTG
Source organism: Homo sapiens (assembly GCF_000001405.40). NCBI lineage: Eukaryota > Metazoa > Chordata > Mammalia > Primates > Hominidae > Homo > Homo sapiens. The sequence continues at coordinate 12,910,452 of NC_000010.11, forward strand.
GTAAAAATATTATTGGAAAACCTATAAACAACAGATGACAAGCACAATGATACGTGTTTCTGCCAATTCAAGGATTGTCCTTCCTGGCTTGGTATCTGGCACAAGTCCTTGCAAACTTGCAAGTTTCAATAACTAGTCAGAGCAAAAAAAAAAAAAAAAATTTTTTTTTTTTTTTTGACACAGAGTCTTGCTCTGTTGCCCAGGCTAGAATATAGTGGCGTGATCTTGGCTCACTGCAACCTCCACCTACCGAGTTCAAGCGATTCTCCTGCCTCAGCCTCCTGAGTAGCTGGGACTACAGGCACCCTAATTTTTGTATTTTTAGTAGAGGCAGGGTTTCACCATGTTGGCCAAGCTGGTCTCAAACTCCTGACCTCCAATGATCCACCCACCTTGGCCTCCCAAAGTGCTGGGATTATGGGTGTGAGCCACAGAGCCCGGCCAAGGGCAAAATTTATATGTGGAAGGCAGTATAATTACAGAATCCTCCCCAGTGCATAGTTGCGGCCAGCCCCTGTGAAATGAATATTATCTGTGAGAATTTTAAATATGTCTGAATTACTGTTCCATTCTATAAACGACCACAGTTATTCTTAGCGACCTCTTCAACAGTTTGCTGTTCCATCTTTCTGGAAGGCCATTCCATGACTCTGCAAGGCAGGTTCATTCTCATCCTGGTTCCTGTGTCATCTCTGCAGATGTGTTCCCTTGTCACCCCATAAGTCACCTCTCCTAATGAGGCTGTTGCATCACCTGCTTCTCTTCAGTGCCTTATAACATTGTTGGATTTCCTTATTAATGGCTAATTTGTTCTTTCTTCCACTAGACTAAAAAACGGGGACTCTATCTCTGGTTTTTACTGCCATAGCCCTAGTGCCTAATACTGTGCCTGACACACAGTAAGTCCTCAACAGAGTCACTGCTGAATGAAATAACACATTCTAAAGCTAATATACGCTAATGTTTTTTTGAAAATTATAAACTAATGAGAAATGGGAAAAAGTCACCTATAATCTCACCACTCAAAGACAACTTGCATTTCTATTTTAGTGGCATGATTTCTTAAACCTGGTTATAAACACTGTATTTACTTTAACATTTTAAAAATATTTAAATTGACAAAATTTATATTGAACATGTACAACGTGATCTGAAATATGTGTACACTGACATGGCTAATTAACGATGTATCACCTCACATACCATTTTTTTGTAGTGAGAACACTTAAAATCTATTTTTAACAATGTTCAAACATACATTGTATTGTTATTAACTGTAGCCACCATGATGTCCATTAGATCTCCTGAAGTTATTCCTTGTAACTGAAATATTGTACCCTTTGAACAGCATCTTCCAATACCCCTTCCAAGTCTCTGGTAACTGCCATTCTACTTTTTGGTTCTTTTAGCTCATTTTTTTTAGATTCTACATTTAAATATTAATAAGATCATGCAGTACTGGTGCCTGGCTTATTTCACTTAATATCCTCCAGTTTCATCCATTTTGTCACAAATGATGGTATATCCTTTTTTAAGGGTGCATAGTATTCCACTGAGTATATACACATCATGTTCTTTATCGATTCATTCATTGACAGACACTTTAGTTTGATTCCCTATCTCGACTATTGTAAGTAATGCTTCAGTGAACATGGGAGTGTAGATATCTCTTCGACATACTGACTTTGGATGTATACCCAGTAGTGGGATTGCTGGATCATACAGTAGCTCTGTTCTTAATTTTTTGAGAAAACTCCATACAGTTTTCCATAATTACTAATTTACATTCCCACCAAGTGCACAAGGGTTCCCTTTACTCCACATCCTCACCAACACTTATCTTTTGTCTTTTTGGTAATAGCCCTTCTAACGGGTGTGAGATGATATCTCATATTCATTTTAATTTGCGTGTCCCTGATTAGTGATGTTGAACATTTCTAAATATACCTGTTGACCATTTGTATGTCGTCTTTCTAGAGGTCTATTTAGGTCCTTTGCCCATTTTTTAAATCAGGTTGTTGGCTTTCTTGCTGTTGGGTGTTTGGTTTCTTTTGGTTATTAACCCCTTATCAGATGTGTGGTGTGTAAATATTTTCTTCCATTTCGTAGGTGTTTTTTTCACTCTGTTGATCATTTTCTCTGCTGGACAGGAGCTTTTTACTTTGATGTGTTCCCATTTGCATCTTTTCCCTTTAGTTGCTTATGCTTTTGTGGCCATACCCAAAAAATGATTGCCCAGACCAATGTCATGGAGCTCTGCCCCTGTGTTTGCTTCTGGTAGGTTTACAGTTTCAGGTCTACGCTTAAGTCTTTAAACATTGAGTTGATTTTTGTATATGGCGTGAGATGAGGGCCTAATTTCATTCTCTGCACGTAGATACTCAATTTTTCCAGCACCGTTTACTGAAGAGACTGTCCTCTCCCCGTTGCATGTCTTGGCATCTCTGTCGAAAATCCATTGACCATACACATGGATTTATTTCTTGGCGCTCTATTCTGTTCAATTGGTAGATTTCTATTTTTAGGCCAGTGCCATCCCGCTTTGATTACTATTGCTGTGTAGTATATTTTGAAATCAGGTAGTACAATGCTTCTTTTTTTCCCCTCAAGATTCCTTGGCTATTCAAGGTCTTTTGTGGCTCCATATGAATTTTATGATTCTATTTCTATGAAAAATTCCATTAAGGTTTTTGATGGGGATTGCATTGAATCTGTAGATCACTCTGGTAGTATAGACACTTTAACAATATTCTTCTAATCTATGAGCACAGGATATCTTCCCATTTATTTGTATCTTCAGTTTTTTCCATCAATGTCTTATAGTTTTCAGTGTACAGTGGTTTCACCATTTTGGTTAAGTTTATTCCTAAGTATGTTATTATTTTGTAACTATTGTAAATAGGATTGTTTTATTGATTTCTTTTCCAGATAATTCATTGTTAGTGCATAGAAATACTACTGATTTTTGTGTGTTGATTTTGTATCCTCAGACTTTACTGAATTTGTTTATTAGCTCTAATAGTTTTGGGTGGACTCTTTGGGTTCTTTTTGTGTGTAAGATCATGCCATTGCAAACAGGGACAATTTGACTTCTTCCTTTCCAATTTGGATGCCCTTCATTTCTTTCTCTTGCCTAGCTGCTCTGGATAGAACTTCCAGTACTATGTTGAATAGAAGTGGTAAGAGTGAACATCTTTGTCTTATTCCTGATCTTAGAAGAAAAGCTTTCAACTATTCACCACGGAGTATGATGTTAGCTGTGGGTTTGTCTTACGTGGCCTTTATTGTGTTGAGACACATTCCTTCTATACCTAATTTGTTGAAAGTTTTTTTATCATTAAAGGAAGTTGAATTTTGTCCAATGGTTTTTCTGCATCTATTGAAATAATCATAAGGTTTTTGTCCTTCATTCCATTAATGTGATGTATCTCATTTATAGATTAGTGTATGTTGAACCATGCTTATATCCCTGGGATAAATGTCATTTGATCATGGCAAATGATCCTTTTAATGTGCTGTTGGATTCAGTTTACTAGTATTTTCTTGAGAACTTTTGCATCTACGTTCATCAGAGATTTTTGGCTTGTAACAGCTTCTTTTTATAGTGTTTTTGTCTGCTTTTAGTATCAGAGTGATGCCATGTACGGTGAGTTTGGAAGTATTCCCTCCTGTTCAATTTTGTGGAAGAATTTGAGAAGAATCAGTATACTTCTTTAAATGTTTGGTAGAATTTAGTAGCAAAGCCATCAGATCCTGTGATTTTCTTTGATGATAGACTTTTTACTGCCAATTCAATCTTCTTACTCATTACTGTTCTGTTCAAATTTTCTGTTTACTCATGACTTAATCATAGTAGGTTGTATGTGTCTAGGAATTTATCCATTTCTTGTAAGTTATCTAATTTGTTGGCATATGATTGTCTGTGGTAGTCTTTTTTAGTCATTTGTATTTCTGCGGTATCAGTGTAATTTCTCCTCTTTCATTTCTGATTTTATCTTTTGTTTTTTCTTTTGAGACAGAGTCTTGCTCTGTCACCCAGGCTGAAGTGCAGTGGCGTGTCCTTGGCTCACTGCAACCTCCGCCTCCTGGGTCAAGCGATTCGCCTGCCTCAGCCTCCCAAGCAGCTGGGACTACAGGCATACACCACCATGCCTGGTTAATTTTTTGTATTGTGTAGAGCCGGGATTTTGCTATGTTGACCAGGCTGTTTTCAAACTCCTGGCCTCAAGTGATCCACCCAGTTAGCCCTCCCAAAGTGCTGGGATTACAGGTGTGCGTGAGCCACCATGCCTGGCCTGAGTTGTCTTTTTTTACTTAGTCTAGCTAAAGGTTTGTCAGTTTTGTCTTTTCAAAAAACCAACTCTTTATGTTGCTGATCTTCTGTATTATTTTTCTACTCTCTCATTTATTATTATTTCTTTCCTTCTAACTTTGGGCTTAGTTTGTTCTTCTTTTTGTAGTTCCTTGAGGTAACACTAGATGTTTACTTGGCAAGTTCTTTTTTGATGCAGGCATTTATTGTTATAAACTTCTCTCTTAGAACTGCTTTTGCTGCATCCCGTAAGTTTTGGTATGTTGTGTTTCCATTTTCATTTGTCTCATGACACTTTAAACATTTTTAAAATTTTTTTCTTTGACCCATTGGTGTTCAGGAACATGTTGCTTAATTTCCACATATTTGGGAATTTCCCAAAATCCTTATAACAGGAAGAATTTTTCTGAAACCAGAATTGATTTCTGGTTTCAAACGATTGTGGTTAAAAAAGATACTCAGTAGGATTTCAGAATTTTTAAATTTATTATCTATCCTGGAGAATTCTCTGTGTGCACCTGAGAAGAATGTGCATTCTGCTGCTGTTGGATGGAATGTTATATATATGTCTAGTGGTCCATTCATTAAATGTCTTGTTTGGGTCATTCATTTTCCTGATTGGTTCAATTGTTTTTCTGCATTTTGCAGGGTGGGGTGGGGTCACTGACCTTCCTTAAAACAATTATTTTGAATTCTTTGTCAGGTAGCTCATAAATCTCTGTATCTTTAGAGTCAGTTACTGGTGCTTTATTTTGTTCCTTTGGTGATGTGATTTTTCCATGATTGTTTTTGTGGCCATAATTTGGTGTTTGCACATTTGAGGAAGTAGAGATTTATTTCAGTCTTTGTTTGAGAAAGCCTTTCACCAGTAGCCTGTCCAGAGATTCTGGGCAGGCTGTCTTGTGTGGTCATGGGTGGGTTTGCTACTGGAGCCTTTGGGTAGGCTGGCCTGGTGCCTGGATCCACTACGGTGAACTTGTTAATTGGTACTGTGGAAGCCAGCCTGAAGCCTAGGTTCACAGAAACTGACAAGGTATTGTGGTGGACCTTGACCCTGGATCTGTAGGTCTTGGCCAGGCACTGGGACAGGCCTGGAGCCTGAGTCCATGAAGGCAACCCTTGGTCTTGAGACCATGGGTGCTGACCTGGCACCAGGGTCTGCAGGGTGGACCTGGGGCAGGTATGGAGCCTGGGTACCTGGAGCCATGGGGGCTAGTCTGGAGCCTGGGTTCACAGTGGATGGTCCTGGAGCCTGGGTTCTCAAGGACAGGCCAAGCACTCGATTGTCCTGGGACAGGCCTAAACCCCTGGTCTGCTGGAGAATAGCAATGCAGGGGCTGCCCTGGCACTGGGCAGGCCTGGAGACTATGTCTTAAGATGCCAACCTGGGCCAGGCGCAGTGGTTCACGCCTGAAGTCCCAGCACTTTGGGAGGCCAAGGTGGGCGGATCACAAGGGCAGGCGATTGAGACCAGCCTGGCCAACATGGTGAAACCCCGTCTCTACTACAAATACAAAAATTAGCTGGGCATGGTGGTGCATGCCTGTAATCCCAGCTACTCAGGAGGCTGAGGCAGGAGAATCTCTTGAACCTGGGAGGCGGAGGTTGAGCTGAGATCGTGCCACTGCACTCCAGCCTGAGGGATAGAGACAGACTCCATCTCAAAAAAAAAAAAAAAAAAAATTGACAGCCTGGGGCCACGGGTGCCAACCTGATAGTATGGTGGGCTCAAAGCCTGAAGCTATGTGGACCAACCTGAGGCAGGAGAATCGCTTGAACCTGGGAGGCAGAGGTTGCAGTGAGCTGAGATCACGCCACTGCACTCCAGCCTGGGTGACAGAGAGAGACTCCATCTCAGAAAAAAAAAAAAATTGCCAGCCTGGGGCCAGGGGTGCCAACCTGGTACTATGGCGGGCTCAAAGCCTGGAGCCAAGTGGACCAACCTGGCTCACATCTGATCTGGAACCGGAAGTAAGCCTGAAGTCTGGGGCCATGAGGACTGGCCTAGCACAAGGCTGGCCTGGAGGCTGGGTCTGTGGCTGCTGGCTTGCTGAGTAAGGCTGCAGGGGCCTGTCTGGTGCTGGGGTGGATCTGAAGCCTGGAGCTATGAGAGCCATCTAAGTGCTGGAAGCAGTCCAGAGCTTGGGGCTACTGGGTTGGGCCCGGAGACCAAGTCCATTGGGCAGGTCGGGTGCCAGAGCAGGCCTTTATGCCCAGTGCAATGGTACCAGCCTGGAGTCTGGGGCTGTGAGGCCCTTGCATGGCACTGGGTTTTTCTGGGGCAGGCCCAGTGTAGGTCTGAGGCGAAGTCCAGAGCTCACTTCCCTTACCTTCCCCCAAGTGGAGAGGATCTCTCTCCATACTGTGCTGCCCGGGGTTGGGGGAGGTGATGTTGGAAATGTCCTTATTTCTTCTTCTTTTTTTTTTTTTTTTTTTTTTTTTTTTTTTTTGAGACAGTCTTGCTCTGTTGCCCAGGCCGGACTGCAGTGGCGCTATCTCGGCTCACTGCAAGCTCCGCCTCCCGGGTTCATGCCATTCTCCTGCCTCAGCCTCCTGAGTAGCTGGGACTACAGGTACCCGCCACCATACCCGGCTAATTTTTTTTTGTATTTTTAGTAGAGACGGGGTTTCACCGTGTTAGCCAGGATGGTCTCGATCTCCTGACCTCGTGATCCGCCCACCTCGGCCTCCCAAAGTGCTGGGATTACAGGCGTGAGCCACTGCGCCCGGCCAGAAATGTCCTTATTTCTATGCCACATTGAGATACTGTGATCTCTCACCTGGTTTTCCCAGCTCTTGGGAAGGTGTTTTCATGTAGGGAGAGTTGTTCAAACTGATTTTCTGCGTGGGAGATGAGTGGTGAAGAGTCCTCTTTTGTCATCTTGCTGACATCCTATTTCTTGGAACACAGTGTCTTTTAGTGTGAATTTCGCTTTCTAAAATTTACATGGTATAAAAACATTGCAACCCGAGTTTCATTATTCTGATGGCTGTAATCATTTCAGATGACTCTTTACTTTACCGTAGTCCTTTTGTTGAGTCTGTGGGCTGTTACTGAATTTTGTACTTTCCTAAAGATTTTGATGTGCCACGTTTTTCTTTATCAGGATGATTTCTTTAGGATTGACACTCAAAAGTGAAATTACTAGAAGTTATGAACATTTCTTAGAAGTATGGCTTTATGTTGCCAAGTTGTTTTTTAAAAATGTCATACTGACTGAAGGTTTAACTTTTCAAATTCCTGAGTTTACCTAGAATCTAGTTGGGTATATGGTATGAAGGGAGTATATAAAGCTTTTCCAAGTAGCAAATCAATTATTCTCCCATATTTTATTAAATACGGCTCCCTTCCCTACCCATCTGTATTACCTCCTTCTTTAGGATTCTTACATATGCTAAGGTCTGATCGGACCCACCTTGTCCTGTTTAGCTATGGGTTAATAAGTACTCCAGTGCCATATGACTTTTGTTAAATTAGTTTTATAATATATGATGTGATAGGATATTCCTTTTTCAAAAATTTCTTGGCCAACGTTTTTAAAATACAGAAGGATTCTATAAAGATCTTAAAATATAGTATGAAACCTTTGCAGTTCCATACAAGCTTTGAATGGATCAAACACTACAAACTGTATTAGACTATTGCAAAGTTATACTTTAGTTCTCTGATCAGTTTCTATGCCCATTATTTTTCCTTAAAGACACTTGATTCCTTCTGTAATTCCTAATCAGGGAACCAAAGCCATAAAATGTTATGCTTCATTCTGGATTTAACCTATAAAAGTTGCATTTCCCCTTCTTCTCATTACCTATCTAGAAAAATATGCACAGATGTTGATAACAGGATGATCACTGAAAAAGCAGGAATGACTTTAAGACCCATGTGTAGGAGAACAGTTAAATAAACTGCAGCCCATCTACCCCATGTAACACTATGTGTGATTAAACAGATGGAAGGGGGAAGGCTTCCAACATACATTATCGAGTAGAAAAAAAAGACACCAAGTTGGCCGGGCACGGTGGCTCATGCCTGTAATCCCAGAACTTTGGGAGGCCGAGGCAGGTGGATCACGAGGTCAGGAGATCAAGACCACCCTGGCTAACACGGTGAAACCCCATCTCTACTAAAAAAATACAAAAAATTAGCCATGCATGGTGGTGGGCGCCTGTAGTCCCAGCTACTCGGGAGGCTGAGGCAGGAGAATGGGCGTGAACCCGGGAGGCGGAGCTTGCAGTGAGCCGAGATTGTGCCACTGCACTCCAGCCTGGGTGACAGAGCAAGACCCCATCTCGAAAAACAAAACAAAACAAAAAAGACACCAAGTTCTAGCACCATTCCTATAGTATGTTACCATACAGTTTTTAAAATGCCCACATAATTATTTTTTAAGGGTCTATGTATTATGTGTGTAAAGACCTAGGCTGGAAGGGTCTTTATTGTTAGAGTGAAAAGGAAGCTGTGTTTTTACTTGCAATGCTTACATTTTTACACAGATCATGTATTTGTACATGCTTTGCTTGTGTAACTAGAAATGAGTACTATTGGCCAGGCAAGGTGGCTCACGCCTGTAATCCCAGCACTTTGGGAGGCTGAGGCCGGCGGATCACTTGAGGTCAAGAGTTTGCCATCAGCCTGGCCAACATGGTGAAACCCTGTCTTTACTAAAAATACAAAAATTAGCTGGGTGTGGTGTTTTGTGCCTGTAGTCCTAGCTACTTGGGAGGCTTAGGCAGGAGAATCACTTGAACCCAGGAGGCAGGGTTTGCAGTGAGCTGAGATCATGCCACTGCACTCCAGCCTGGGCTACAGAGCAAGACTGTCTAAAAAAAAAAAAAAAAAAGAAATGAGTACTATTTTAAGAGTCACACTCTTTAAAGGGATTATCGGCTCCGGGGCTGTATTCCTCTTGCAGTCGCCTTGATGCCTTTGCATCTTGCAGCTCCTTCCATGCTCAGCACAGACTTGTGGCCCCACAGAGTGCCCGGGGTGGGTGGGGGGTGGGCGTTAGCCCGAGATGGCATGCAGCTCCCAGGGAGATGTGCTATGATTAAATCCTTGCCCTGCAGGGATCACAAAACTTGGCAGTTGCCAGTTTATGTAAGAAAAGCTATGCTCAGGAAAGAGAGAGGGAGTTTGACCAGGGATGGGCAGTGACTTGGAGCCTGATCATGAGTGGAATTGAGGCTCCCCAGCCACCAGTCACAAATTCCATCTAGTGGGCCCGGAAGGGTTCTCAGCAGAAGGTTGTGTCCCATAAAAAAGGAGAAGCTGCTAAACATGCTAAGTGCATTAGTCTGTTTTCATGCTGTGGATAAAGACATACCCAAGACTGGGTAATTTATAAAGAAAAAGAGGTTTAATGGACTCTCAGTTCCATGTGGCTGGGGAGGCCTCACAATCATGGTGGAAGGTGAAAGGCACGTCTTACATGGCGGCAGGCACGAGAGAATGAGAGCCAAGTCAAAGGGGAAACACCTTATAAAGCCATCAGATCTCATGAGACTTAATCACTACCAGGAGAACAGTATGGGGGAAACAGTCCCTATGATTCAATTATCTCCCACGGGGTCCTTCCCACAACATGTACGAATTGTGGCAGTACAATTCAAGATGAGATTTGGGTGGGGACAGAGCCAAACCACATCACTAAGGCTTTGGACATCAAATGTGGACATTTCAGGGCTGGTTCATGGCTGTGGCAGGGAGCAGTTATTTACCCAGGGCAGAAAGTTTCCTCGACTGAGGACTTTATCTTCACTTCATTCTGGTGAGGGAGAAACCATTCTTTGAGAATTTACTACGTATTAGGTTGGCGCAAAAGTAATCGTGGTTTTTGCCATGACTTTTAATGGCAAACTTTAAAAGTTTTAAAAACTTTAAAATGTTACTAATACCAGGCACTGTATGAGAAGTTTTGAACACGTATCTTATTATATTCTGACATTCCACCCATATGGGAGGTTGTACCATTCTCCCTGTTTTGTGGATTATAAAAGCGAAGCTCAGAGCACTGACGTCACTTGCCTAAGTCCCCGTGACAAGTGAAGGAGCTTGAATTGGAAATCAGAAGGTCTATCTCAAAAGGTAGCGCTCCCATGCTCATAACCTCCATGGTAGACTGACTACCTCTAGGAAAACTTGAGGTCTTCAAATAAGAAGATTTATTTTGCAAACCAGGGGCTCACAGAGGAGGGCAGGCTTCAGCAGCCTTGGCTTCCCCTAACCCTCGGCAGCATATGAGAACATTCTCTTTGCAGAACAACTGCCTTCCAACTACTCTCAAGAAAAATGCAGGCAAGCTACATATTATGATATTTGCCTGGGACATCGTGGTTTTAGTTACCAAAAAAATAAAACAACCTTTCCAGCTGACTGCCTTCTCATCTTCTTCCATAATCTCTCTTTTGCGAGCAGTCTGGGTATTCAATTTAAAATGAATTAAGGAGGCAATTGAGGAAGGATGTCAGTCCGAGCTTTTAAAAACTCACAGTTAATGAACATCAAATTCCATTCTAGTCTGCAAGAAGGTAACCTTTTGACTTGTAAACTTTATACATCCTCTGTGCTGTCATCTGTCCCCAAGGCTGTCTGTGTACGTCTGTGGGGAAGGTCAGCCCGGGGCCCAGAGCTGGCCTGTGCAACTTCAGCAGCCAACCCCCTCCCCGACTCGTCCCATTGGTGCCCTCTGATGAACTTGAACCTGGAAGCTCTGTCTCACTGTCACACTTCTCTGACCAGTGCAAAAGCCAGGCCTTATCTTTTTCAACTTTTTCAAATGATCTCTTAAAAATTGTAGCAAAATATACATAACATAAAATTTACCATCTTAACCATTTTAAGTGTACACTTCAGTAGTGTTAAGTACAATTACATTGTTGTGCAACCAGTCTCTGGCACTATTTATCTTGCACAACTATAATTTTTTTTGCATTGTAGTTAACTGCATAGACCATAAAAGTTATCGTAGCCGGTTTCTGTTTTTTGTTTTTTGTTTTTAAGACAGGGTCTAACTCTGTCACCCAGCTGGAGTGCAATGGCCCAATCATGGCTCACTGTAGCCTCGAAACTTCTGGGCTCAAGTGATCCTCCTGCCTCAGCCTTCCGAGTAGATAGGACTACAGGTGTGGGCCACCATGCCTGGCTAATTTTATGTAGAGATGGGTCTTGCCATGTTGCCTGGGCTGGTCTTGAACTCCTGTTCTCAACTCTCCTACTTCAGCCTTCCAAAGTGCTGGGATTACAGTCATGAGCCATTGTGCCTGACCCTATCTTAACTATTCCTAAGTGTACAATTCAGTAGCATTAAGGACATTCACGTTATACAAACATTACCACCATGTACAGTCCAGGCTTTATCTCTGACTCCCATTCCTCTTATCATCTGTTCAGCTTCTGCCTTTACACACTGACTTCCACTTCTCCAGATGGTTCTTTGCTCTCTTACATGAGTGCCGTGTTTGTGAATCCAGTCTACAGCGTGAGCTGCCCACGGAGCACAGGCTCCCAAGTTACCCGCACTCGGACGGGCTTCTGCAGACCTGGGTGGGAGCTCCCATCTGTGCCAGTTCCCAAAAACTCCTCCTAGCCCAGGCCCTGCATCCCACCCTCCCATCTGTGTCAGAAGATGCTTTGGAACCACTTGCATGAGTTAGAATTGGCCCAGCACCTCCCTCAGCAGTTGACCCAACCCCCAGAAACCTATTCTCTCCTCCACAAAATGGGGCCACTGCTGTTAGGGTGGCTGTGACAATTTAAGAAGAGGCTTGTAAGGTCCCAGCACCTGGAAGGCCATCTTGGATGTTAGCTGTCACATTCTATTCTAGAAGACAACCTCCCCACCCTTCCTCACTTCCTTCCTTCCCAGCCCTTCTCTCTGAAACATGCTCTTCCCCCTCCCGGACCCCTTCCCGCGCCGCAGGAACCCAGGATGTTTATGTTTTCCCCGGATGTGGTACATTGTAGGAATCTGGCTGTTTTCTGAACCTAAGGAGTGTCAATTTCTCACCTCTTCCCTTTGGCTGAGTCTGGCAGAAAATGCCCACTTAGATGTTGCATCTGATAGTATGGGATGTACAGAAAGAGATGCTTCCCCAAATGCCAATTTATAGCCTAGAAGAGGAGCCCGGAGCCTTCCGGACTCAGGAAAACATACTCTTATTCTGACATTGGCCAAATGTTCAGTATATAAACTTATGACATCCTTTCCTTCCCTCTCCCTTTGTGAGTGAGATAAGATAATCCCTTGATGAATTGGAACACATCACTTATTTTTAAAAGTCATTTGGGGGAAGAAGACCATCTGGATGCTTAGAAAGCTTCAGAACACAGGAAAGAAACTGGGTAGACAAAACCAGATTGGGATAACCTTCCACAGACTCCCCATGGACCCACCATCTGGAAGTTTAATCTTCTAGAAGGGAAAGTAATCTCTGGGTGCTGTTCGTCTGTTTGGGGAACACAGGTCAGTACACTTGCAGCATGTCATGTCTATGCTCAGAAACCTTCAAAGGCAACCAGAGGTCGCCATGAGATAGACGGTCCTCCCTCTGACATCATTACTTTTTCACAAATACCTGAATTACAGCCACTCTGAAATACTCGTTATTCCCTGAACATACCCCAAACATTACTTCTGAGTCTTTATTCTGCTGCTTCCTCCTGGCACGCCCTTTCCACCGGCTTAAGTGGCACCGTTTGCATGGCCAATGTGATGCTACCTTCACAAAGCCAGTCCTGGGTCCCCTGACTGCCTGAAACCCACCACCTCTGGCCTCCTATGGCTCTTGGAACCTCCCTTTTTGCATTAATCCTGCAGAGGTTAGAATGGAAGCAATGATGTGATATTTTGTGATATGATACCTCGATGGGTTTTCCTTTGGGATATGCGTCCCGGTCATTTCTATCCTTTTTTCACCTCCATGCACCAGAATGAGTTCCGTGAAGGCAGCATCTGTGTTTGACTCCGGTCTGTGTCCCTCCCGACCCGTCTCCATGCCTGGAACTGGGCAGGTACTCGGTACATTTTAATCACTTACACTTTACAAGTCAATAGTGCTATTCTGAGCATAAAGGTTTCAGACAACCTCTGCTGTCATGTGTATCTTTGCAAATATCGATAAGGACATCTGAACTCGACACTCCAACCCTGCTCCTCTACCCACTCAGGGAATGGCTACACTTTGCAATGAAGCCAGGGGTGAACGGAACTTCACCTTTGATAGGTGAATGAAACACTAGGTTTGGTGTGAATTTGTGAGCCCAGTTTTGTGCCTTAAAGGAGACTGGCTTCAAATGCTGTAGAATTGCCATGGCCTCAGTTTCTGCTTTAAGCACCTACTATCATTAAAATAGTTTATGCAACCTTCTAAAGGAAGCTGAGTTATGGGGGACCCTTCCCAATCTCCCTGAAATCTGTAAAGGAGACTAAGAGCTGTATATTCTGTAGTCCAACTCTGTCTCTAAACCACTGAGACCTCTTGAGTTGCCTATGTCGAGGCCCTCTAAGTAAGGCCCTTTGCCGTACAGTGTGGTTGAAGACATGGAGGGCATTGCACTGGTAGGTGGCAACCGCTTTTGAGCAGAAATGGGCTCATTATGTTTTAGGAAATTGTGTGCTTGTGGGTTGAAGGAGAAATCCTAGAATGCTTTCTGAAGCGAATATTCGTTGCCAAAACAATTTATAACTGTGTTGCCATGGAAGCCAATATGTCACGTTTCACTCAGCCTAAGAATATCTAAACTCTAATGATTCTGAGAATAGCCGAAGTGGAACAGCCAGGTGTGATCTCTACGAGAGGCCCAAGGTTAACATCCATTTTCCAGTTTCTAATCCACTGTCTATGAATCTCTCAAAATCCCCAACTTCTTACTCTGAATGTCATTTTGGGAGCGTGGGCTTTCCAACTGGAGTATCTGTGAGGCAACTCCTCCTCTTCTCTTATCCAGGTAGTCACCAGGCCAGACCCTGCTTAGCTTCCAAGATCTGACGAGATCAGGTGCATTCAGGGTGCTACGGCCGTAAGTGACTCATTTTCTTTTGTCGTGTTCTGTGTGTATATAAATGCTTGTGAGAATCTCCAAATATGTGGTCAATTTGGGTCTCATGAGCTTGAGGGACAGTGAAAAAAGAATGGAAGAAAATAAAGTGCGAGTAGTTAGAGAATTTCTATGGAGACTTGCAGCTGTGTAAAGTGAAATCGATGTGGCAGCGGTGAGCAGCCCGTGTGGACACCAAGCACAGGTGGGGACAGTAGATTTAACCTGAAGTTCCAGAAGCCTCTGTGTGTTGAAGGAGAGGGGGCCACCAATACCCTACAGGGTAAAGGCACATTTCAGAGGCAGAGGTGTTCTGAATGAAGCACATGGTCGGTTCCAGGAGAGCCCAACTGGGGAGCAAAAACCCTGGGTCAGACTGGCTGGCATCCCTCAGGAAGTAGGCAGGTGGGGAGTGGGGTCTGGAGAGAGGAATATGAAGGAGGGGTGCTGAGAAATCCAGCCAGTGGGAGAGCTGTTAAGGTCCCCAAACTGGGTTGTACTCTTGGCCTCTTTGGCTTATATTCAATAGGTAACCAAACTTAGTCAAAAAAAATCAGGATCTCCTTTTCCCTCTTTAAAGTCCTTTGTGGGCCATTAATTTCAAAACTGACACCTCTTGAGTTGCATATTTCAAGGCCCTCTAAGTAACCTCTCCCCCAGCGAAGGCAAACTCTCCGCAACTCCCCACAAGCGGCCAGTCTGCCTGAATGCCCCTGTGGCGAGACACTCTGACCCTGCCTAGCATCCAAGCCACTTTTAAAAAATGCACAACTGCCTATCCCAAAGGTAAACCCTCTGTGTATCTTAAAATATAACATACATGGTCTTAACTCTTGCCTCTGGAGTCACACAGAATAAACTCTTCTCTTCTTTTCCAAGGTGGCATGCCAAAGGTGTGCACACAGCCATTGTATCTTCTCTAAGTCCTCCGTCCCCATGTAGTCATCCCTGGATCATTTCTCACATTACATTTTCCCCAAAACATCTAACTCCACATCTCATGAAATTCTCAATTCATCCTATTGTGATACCCAGGGCTGAACCCTGTGCTTAAGGGATGATCTGACTGGGATTGTTATAGCTCAAACTTTATGTATGAGGCAGAAAAGAACAGGCAGAACAAAAGCTGGGGTTTGGCACAGGCCCTGGGAGGCTTTATTGGGCCACAAAGGCAGAATTTGTAGGGGCAGTTGGGTACTTGAGATGCTATGCCCAAGAGCAGAGGCTGGGTAGGAGCAGAGGGACTGCTGGCTGCCTGCTGACCCAGCTGGCAGGAGCGCAGGACAGTGCTCAGTCCTGGGTAGGGACTGGAATACTGGGAAGAGTGAAAACAAGTGGATAGTCAGGAGCAGAAACCAAAGGATCCATGGAGGATGCTGGAGGACACAGGTGGAGTGTGAAGACAGCTGGGATTTAGTGATAAAAGGCTGGTTTGTACTCCATGGACTGAGTTGTGTGTAACTGCTTGTGATCATCAACTCAGCTTAAGAAACTGACATAACCCAATTATATATTCCTCATATAGGCCAAGAACTGGTTGAGCTGAACTTAAGCATGGCAGGCAATAGGGGCCTTAGCTATGAGGGCCAGAGACAAACAGTCAGGGCTGGCATGGTGCCCACTCTAGAGTGCCTTATTTATGATGTATTAGATTTGTGCCCCAGGGAGCACAAAGAATGGCATTTCCTAGATTTCTACATCTGTCCTTATGGAGAGGGCTTGCTTTCCTTGCTGTGTATCCTGTTGTTCTATTGGGCAGGAAAAAAGGTCAATTAAGAGATGGGACAAATACAAAATATTAAGATGGTAGACTAAACAACTAAATATAAATGGACTAAACACTAATAAGTGTACAGAGATTAAAGCAAGACCCAACAACATGCTGTTTACATATACAGGCACAAATAGGTTGAAAGCAAAAGGACAGAAAAAGTTATATAGGTATATCATGCAAACACTAAGCATAAGAAAGCTTGTAGGGCTATATTGATATCAGGCAAAGTAGACTTCAGAACAACATTAAGTATTACTAGAGATAACAGGATATTTCATTGGAGGTCAACTCATAAAGACATTATAATCATAAATGTGTATACCCCTAAAAACAAAAAATACATAAACTCAGAGCATTTATTTAGCACTAGAAAGATGAATAAAATATAGTTATTACTCCAAAACAATTTCCATTTTGGAAAAAAAGGGATGTTAACATTTTTAGAGTAGTATATTAGCAACCAAGAAAGAGGCCCCAAGATCCTGATATCAGCCAACGTGATATTTACCAGTTCCTGTTTTCCATCTCCCCTGCCAAAAAGAAATTATTTTTAAAATGGAAATTTCCGAACACACATAAAAGTAGAGAGATGAGTATAGTGAGCCTCCATGTAGCCTCACCACTACTACAAGAATTCTAGCACTTCCGCCTCTCATTTCATCTATCTGCTGGCCCTTCCCCAACTACTTTTTGCTATAGCATTTTTAAGGACATGTCAGATACCACCTGTAAATACTTTAGCACACATCTCTAGCTGATAACATTTGTAAAAGCATAACCATCATACCATTACCACACTTAAAATTAACAATTGCTCAATACTAGCTAATACTCAGTACAACTGCCTCACAGATTTCTTTTTTATATTTAGTTTGTTTACATCATGATTAATATAAGGCCCATATATTACACTGATTGCTAAAGCTCTAGTCTCTTTTACAATATTTTTTGTTGTTTTTGTAAAGCCACTGATTTCTTATGAGAAACTGGTTCATTTATGCTACAAATGGCAAAAAAAAACCTTTCTTTTGACTAAACATCTCTTCTAGAAATGATAATGACCAATATGAAAATAAAAAGCAATAATGTAGACGCTTAGGAGTGAATTCTCTAATACACACTTTGTCCCAAAACACGCTAAAGGGATTGCATCTCATTTCCCGACAAATACACTGAACCTATTGGGGTTAATTTGAACCATATTAGAAGTCCATGAATCCATTAGAATCATCTGGAGCAGGAACTTTTTTCAATTCAATTGCAAGTGAAATTCAGTCTACATTTGAAAAGTACTAACAAGATGTATAAATTCTATCAATCTCAAACTACATACACAGTCCAGAAATGGAATTGCAATGGAGAAAGGACTTCAGAGGCCCCCTGGGTAACAGATGAACATTGCCAAGTCTTAAGTAATTATCTAATTTTCTTCTAACCTCAAGGCATGCTGGGGCATCTGGGAGTTGTCAGGGAATGCAGGTGTGCACACCCAGGGCCTCAGCGTGTTACAACACAGCCAAGGAAATGGCAAAGCAATGCTGTTCAAATAAAAATGTAGACAGACCCAGAGTTTAGAAGAGGTGACTATACCAACTGTGGCTCAAGGCATCTGAGGTTAGTCAGCCAGTACTACAGGGAACCATTTCCCTCCAACTCTTGTCCACACCAGATTCAAATTTTATTTTCTGTTAAGCTTGGAAAGCCAGTATCTTGGGAAGAAAAGGTTCAAAAAGCCCCAGGCACAAGAGAGAAGAATACAATAAAAAATGCAACAAAAGGAAAGAGAAAGCATGAGATGATTTCTTTTTCCCAGTAGTTTTCTGTTAAATTTCCCTCCAACCGTTTTAGGAATTACAATACTTAACATCCTCAATAGGCTACATCAGCAGTTGAAGAAGTGAACCAATACCAGCTCATGATCAGTGATCCATTTTCTTATTCTCTTGGCAGGGCTGCACTTAGCCTCCAGAGTTGTCTCTTCAACAAGACAGGTCTGATCATCTCAGTAACCTTCTTCTGGGACTCCTGTTAGACGTGTATATTTAATACCATTGGCTAAGTCGTAACAATCATCCAAGTCAACCGACCTCCCAGCCTGCCCACATTGCCTCCCTGTAGGAAGTGATTTTGCACACAGAAGCCCCTGGTGGGGTAGGGTGGAGTGTGAAGTATCTGTTCTTGGACCACAGTTCCATCCCTGGAGCAGCAATTGTGAAGCATCGTTCTCCTGTTCCAGCATCTCTCCAAAGACGCTCAGGTCTCCGTCACAGGATCACCATTGAAAAAGGTGTCTGTCCCTCTGACACATACCCAGGGGAGGAAAGAGCAAGCTTTGGAGGCACCTGGTTGACTTCACCTGGAGGTAAGGGTCTGGGCAACTGGGATCACCAGACTGAAGGATTAATTGAAAGTTCAGCAGATGGCTCATGCCTGTAATCCCAGCACTTTGGGAGGCCTAGGTGGGTGGATCATGAGGTCAGGAGTTCAAGACCATCCTGGCCAAGATGGTGAAACCCCTCCTCTACTAAAAATACAAAAATTAGCTGGGCGCGATGGCAGGCACCTGTAATCCCAGCTACTTGGGAGGCTAAGGCAGGATAATTGCTTGAACCCAGGGGGTGGAGGTCGCAGTGAGCCGAGATCGTGCCACTGCACTCCAGCCTGGGTGACAAAGTGAGATTCCATCTCAAAAAAAAAAAAAAAAAAAAAGAACAGAATAGACCCCACCTTCCTCTGAGTTTTATTTTTGTGCCCTGTCATGTTAGAACCTCTGCCTTGTCTTTAAGTCACCAAAACAAGGTGCCAGGGCTGCATTCTCTCAGGGTCTGCAGGGACTCTGATGAGGGCCTTTCACAGAAGCAGCTTGTGAGCACTTAGCGAGATGGCTACCTCTGCCTCAGTGGCTCTAACACTCTCCCTGTGAAGGGCAATTCCTCCTTTTGATAGACAACACCCTGCAAACCCAGATATGGGTTAGAGTCCACAGGGAATGGAGCTCACTCTGCCCCCCTCTGCCACAGATTATCTTTCTCACTCTCTACCACATGCCACTGGCCTCTCCAGTGACCCCCTCACCTTCCCTGCCTCCCCAGGCCCTTCCACATGGGTCCAGCAGGTCCAACAGGCCCCAAAGCCGAGCCCATTGAAGACAATTTAACACCATTTGATTCTAAGCTGGTCATTACCTCTTGAGACTGTTTTAAAAGGGAGCTATGATGGTAGTTTAATGCAATGGGGCGGGGGGATGATCAAACACATGTAAATGAGAGGTGTTTGAAAATGGTAAAATGCTGTACCAAAGCAAGCTAAGAAATTGAAGTGGGAGAGGGTAAAGTACTATTAATATAACAGAAGGCACAATCAGAGAAGAGCTAGAACTAGAAAAAAATTTCTGTTTTTGATCTGGCCATTGAAATTTTTTTATGAGTAGATTAATAGTTGTATTTTAAAATAAAATTGCAGTTCAGGCATCTATATATGATAATGGGAAATGCTAGTTGGGGATTTCCTCTGTCTTCCATAATTGCAGAGTTGAAGCAGAAGGTCCCAATGTCCTCCAGCTCATGGTCTAGGCACAATTTCAGCCAAATTATTTTCATCAAATAGGTTTCTAATCTTTTTCAAAAGCTGTCCAGGACAATACGTTGTACAGTTTCTCTAGGAAATGATGTAATATTTTTACATTTCTTTTCTATTTGGTTTTGCATTGTGCCCTCAAAAACGTGTCACAAAAGCATTTGGCAGACATTTAATAGAGTGATGAATATAATCAGATATTATTTTGAGGGAAAGTGTCACCTAATTTCTGTTGACTCATTCTGAACAATGGAAAACATTCTTTTCCCATGCTTGGAATAAGAGTTCCCCTTGATTTACAAATGTTTCTCCATGTTATTACTAAGAGGTTTACATGACTTAAGAACACGGGATGTCATTTGGAAACATGGGGCACAATAGTCTTCTTTGTGCAATTGACAACTGTGCTAGCAAATAGTGGCTGCTTCCATTGGGTTAACAGCTGATACCACATTCTAGAGCACTGATTCTCAACCGGTGGCAATGTCATTGCCCTGGGGACAGTTGGCAGTGTTCGGAAATACCTTTCATTGTGATGAGTTGGGGGACTATGCTCCTGGGTCAGTGGGCAGAGACCAAAGATGCTACTAACCATCCCACAATGGATTGGATAGTCTCCCACAACAAAGAATCACCCACTCCCAAACATAACAGTGCCGAGGTCAAGAAGCCCCATTCTAGGGTACCTGGAGCATAGAGCACAGGAGGGGCTTTGGAGATGTCTGTCCCAGGCTCTGGTCCAAACTTCACTTTTCACAGTGATGGTCGCAAATTTACTTGGCCGGGTGTAGTGGCTCACACCTGTAATCCCAGCACTTTGGGAGGCCGAGACGGGAGGATCACCTGAGGTCAGGACTTCCAGACCAGCCTGGCCAACATGGCGAAACCCCGTGTCTACTAAAAATACAAAAATTAGCTGGACATGGTGGCCTGCGGCTGTAATCCCAGCTACCTGGGAGGCTAAAGCAGGACAATCACTTGAACCCAGGAGGCGGAGGTTACAGCGAGCTGAGATCATGCCACTGCACTCCAGCCTGGGCCACAGAGCAAGACTCTGTCAAAAAAAAAAAAAAAAAAAAAAAAAATTAAAGCTCTGACAAGTCTGCCGTATTCATAAGACTTTAGGAATGGTGTCCACTCAACATGCAGCAATACACTGTTTTAATTTCTAATTAACTATTTACAATGTACAGCAGATGGGGTGGAATGGGATTCAACCTTCTTCTGGGGTTACTTCCTCTACAACAGAGCCTGGAAAGCTAAAAACTACGTTTCCCAAACTTCCTTGTATTGACCCTTCTGAATGAATTTAGAGTCCATCCATCAGATGCTGAAGATCTGAAAGGTGCAAGTGGAAGCCAGGTTTCTGCTGCACCAGCTATTCCTCCTCTGTTGTAGAAGCATTTGGTTTTTCTATAGCTGCTTTTGGCAGAGGCCGTGGCTACCCTGAAGGGCTAAATCAGTGGTGTTCTGAGAGTCATTCCTGCAGGTCACCTAAAGTTTTCTTCCTGTTGCCCTTCTGACAAGTTTGTCTGACCAAACCTCTCTAATATTTTCTGCTTAAAATATGTAGACTCATTACTGTTTTCTATAACAGAACTGTGGTACATACAGCCAGGATAGCCAGAGATCCTAAACTGTCCACATTTCAAGAATTAGGTCCTGTGTGTTTCTTCCATGCAGGGGCTCTGAATCTGGGGTCTCCACTACCCAAAGGACCTGTAAGTAAAACTCAGAGGATTTGTGTATTTGGGTGGGAAAATATTACATTTTTTATATATAAAAAACAGTTTTATGTTCACAGCAAAGCTGAATGGAAAATGTAGATTTCTCTTGTACCTCCTGTTCCCACATATGTGCAACCTCCCCTCCTATGGATGTCCTGACACTATTGAGTCTTCCTATCCATAAACAAATCTCCATTTGTTTAGTTCTTTAATATCTTTCTTCAGAGTTTTGTAGTTTTCCTCATGTAGATCTTGTAAATATTGTTAGATTATTCTTAAATATTTCATTCTGGGGAGGTGCCTAGTATAAATGATAATGTGTTTTTAATTTCAAATTCAAATTGTTCCTTGTAAGTAATGTTTCTTGACCTATGATGGGTTTATCAGGACGTAAGTAAAAAATGCATTTAATACATCTAACATATTGAACATCATAGCTTACCTTAAATGTGTTCAGAACACTTACACTGGTCTACAGTTGGACAAAATAATCTAACACAAAGCCTATTTTATTAAAAAGTATAGACTATCTCACATAATTTATTGAATATTGGAGTATGGTTTCTACTGAATGTGTATTGTTTCACACCATAAGTTGGAGACCATCCATAGGAAAGCAATTGACTTTTGTCTGTTACCTGTGTATGCATGTAATCTTGCTACAATTGCTTATTAGTGCCAGGAGTCTTTTGCTATTTGGGGGAATTTTCTACATAACCAACCATGTTATCTACAATGTTTTATGTCGTCCTCCTCAATCTGTATACCTTTGATTTTTTTTTCTTGTCTTGTATTAGCTACAATAGAACTTCCAATATGATGTTGAAAAGCAGTTCTGACAGAGGACATCCTTGCCTTGTTCCTGATCTTAGCGGGAAAGCTTTGGGCTTCTCACTATTAATTATAATGTTAGCTTTAGTTTTTTTGTAGATGTTCTTTATGAAGTTGAGACAGTTCCCCTCTACTCCGAGTTTGCTGATAGTTTTCTCATTAACAGGTTTTAGATTTTGCTAAATGCTTTTTCTCCATCTATTGATATGATCATGTGATTTTTCTTCTCTAGCTTGTCATGATGAATTGCATTAATTGATTTTTGGATGTTGAACCAGCTTTGCATACCCAGTTTAAATATCCCTTGGCCATGAGGCATCATTCTTTTTATATACTGTTGGATTTGATTTGCAAACAGCATCATGTTGATTTTTTTTCATCTTGGTTCATGAGATATGGGTCTATTGTTTTCTTGTAATGTCTTTGTCTGGTTTAGGTAGTAGGGGAGTGCTGGCTTGTAGAATGAGTTAGGAGAGATTCCCTCTACTTCTACCTTCTAGGAATTGTAGGGAGCTGGTACAATTTCTTTCTTACGTGTTCAGTAGCATTTACCAGTGAATCCATCTGGGCTTGGTGCTTTGAGTCTGGAAGGTTTTAATTACTGATTCAATTTATTTAATAGATTATAGGTCTATTCAGATTCTCTTTCTTTTTACATGAATTTTAACAAATTGTGCCTTTTAAAGAATTGGTCCATTTTGTTGAGGTTATCAGATTGGTGGGCATAGAGTTGTTGATAATATTCCCTTTATTTTTTTTTTTTTTGAGACAGAGTCTTGCTCTGTTGCCCAGAGCGACCCAGTGCAGTGGCATGATTTTGGCTCACTGCACCCTCTGCCTTCTGGGTTCAAGAGAGTCTTGTGCCTCAGCCACCAAAGCAGCTGGCTTACAGACATGCACAACCACGCCAGGATAATATTTTGTGTTTTTAGTAGAGATGGGGTTTCATCATGTTAGCCAGGCTGGTCTCACAGTCCCAGCCTCAAGTGATCCGCCCGACTCGGCCTCCCAAAGTCCTGGGATTACAGGTGTGAGCCACTGTGCCCGGCCATAATATTCTTTTATTATCCTTTAAATGTCCATGGGATCTGTAGTGATGGCCCCTCTTTCATATTTGATAGTAAATAACATGTCTTTTTTCCTATAATTAACCTGGATAGAGGTTTATTGATTTTATTTATCTTTTCAAAGAATCAGCTCTTTTGATTATTTTCTGTTTTCACTTTCATTGATTTCTTCTCTAATTTTTATTATTACTTTTCTTTTGCTTACTTTAAATTTAATTTGCTCTTTTTGTTGTAGTTTCCAAAAGTGGAAGTTCAGGCCACTGATATTAGATCTTTCTTCTTTCCTAATATATGCATTTCATGCTATAAAATTTTCTGTTAAGCTTTATTTTCACTACATCCCACAAATTGGTAAGTTATATCTTCATTTTCCTTTAACTGAAAATATTTCGAAATTTTTCTTCATTTCTTCCTTGACCTGTGTGTTACTTGGAAATGTCTTGTACAGTCTCCAAGTATCTGGGACTTTTCAGATATATCTGTTATTGATTTCTAGTTTAATTCCATTGTCGTCTTTCCATTGTTGTCTGAGAGCAGATATTATATGATCTCTATTCTTTTTGATTTTTTAAGGTATGTTTTATGACCCAGAATGTGATCTATCTTGGTAAATGTTACATGTGAGCTTGAGAAGAATATGTGGCCTGCTGTTGGTGGATGAAGGAGTATGTAAGTGGCAATTACATCCAGTTGACTGATGGTGCTTTTGGGTTCAAGTATGTCTTACTGATTTTCTGTCTACTGGATCTGTGAATTACTGATAGAGGGGTTTTGATGTCTCCAACTATGATAGTAAACTCATCTATTTTTCCTTGCAGTTCTATCAGTTTTTGCCTCATATTTTGATGATCTGTTGCTAGGCACATAACATTAAGAATCATTATGCCTTCTTGGAGTAGTAACCCCATTATTACATAATGGCCCTCTTTATATCTGATACCTTTTCTTGCTCTGAAGTCTGCTCTAAAATTAATATAGCTACTCCTGTTTGCTTTTGATTAGTGTTGACATGGTATGGCTTTCTGCGTCCCTTTATCTATTTGAGACAGGGCCTTGCTCTGTTGCCCAGGCTGGTATCAAACTCCTAGGCTCAATCTTCCTACCTCGGCCTCCCACAGTGTTTGGATTACAGGCATGAACCACCATGCCCAGTCTTATCTTATTATGTTACCCACACTGGAGTCCATTGGTGCAATCATGACTCACTGTACCATTACGTAACAAACTCCTAGGCTCAAGCAGTCCTCCTGAGTAGCTGGGACTACGGATGTGCACTACCAAACCTGGCTTTTTTTTTTTAAGAGATAGGGTCTTGCTATGTTGCCCTTGCTGGTCTCAAGCAATCCTCCCACATCAGCCTTCCAAAGTGTTGGGATTATAGGTGTGAGCCACCATGCCTGCCTTTGTCTTTATATTAAAGTGAGCTTTTTATAGACAACAGATATTTGGGTCTTGTTTGTTTGAGACAGAATTTTGCTCTGTCACCCAGGCTGGAGTGCAGTGGCACAATTTCAGCTCACTGCAACCTCCATCTCCTGGGTCCAAGTGATTCTCCTGTCTCAGCCTCCCAAGTAGCTGGGACTACAGGCATGAACCACTATGCCAGGCCTTGTTTTTTGATCCATTATGGCAATCTATCTTTTAATTGGTACATTTAGACGACTGAAATTTCAAAGTGACTATTGGTATAGTTGTATTAGTATTTCATATCGGTTACTGTTTTCTATTCATTACCCTGGTTCTCTATTCCTATTTTTTACTTCCTCCTGTGGTTTTAATTGAGCATTTTATATTATTTCATTTTCTCTTTCTTAGCATATCAATTATAACTTCAACTCTTTTTTATTGGTTGTCCTAGAGTTTACAGTATACACATACAACCAATCCAAGTACATTTTTTTTTTTTTTTGAGACGGAGTCTTGCTCTGTTGCCGAGGCTGGAGTGCAGTGGCGTGATCTCGGCTCACTGCAAGCTCCGCCTCGCAGGTTCACGCCATTCTCCTGCCTCAACCTCTAGAGTATCTGGGACTGCAGGCGTGAGCCAGTGCGCCCGGCCAACCCAAGTACACTTTCAAGTAACACTACACTGCTTCACAGGTGGTACAAGTACCTTATAATAACAAGACGTTCCTAATTCCCCTGCTGTCCCTTATATCATTGCTGTGATTCACTTTCTAAGCATCTACTTTTACAAAAGTGAATACATTGTTGCTATTCTTTTGAACAAACTTATCTGTCAGATCAATGAAGATGACAGACATTGTATCTTGACTTACTCATTCTCAGATGCCCATTTTTGTATGTAGATCCAAGTTTCTGACCTATATCAATTTTCCCCTCTCTGAACAACTTCTTTAAACATTTCTTGCAATGCAGGTTTACGGTCCGACGGTAATCTCAGTTTTTGTTTATTTCTCCATCACTTTTGAAGGATAATTTCACAGTGTACAGAATTGTAGGGTTGTTTTTTTCTCTCAGCACTTTAAATATTTTTTTCTCCTCTATTCTTGCTTGCATGGTGTCTGAGAAGTTGGATACACTTCTTATATTTTTGCCTGTATATGTAAGCTGTTTTCTTTCAAGAATTTTTTTTCTCTTTTTGAGACAGGATCTCACTCTGTTGCCCAGGCTGGAGTGCAGTGGGTGTGATCATGGCTCACTGCAGCCTTGACCTCCCTGGGCTTGGGTGATCCTCCCACTTCAGCCTCCCAAAGTGCTGGGATTACAGGGTACTGAGCCACTGTGCCCGGCCACTTTCAATATTTTATCTTTGATTTTCTGAAGTTTGAACATGATATGCCTAGGTATAGGTTTTTGGCATTTCACTCCAGCAGGTTAGATTCTGGTTGAACAGTTCCTCCTAAGGTCTCCTAAGACCAAGCACAGAGGCTTACGCCTGTAATCCCAGTGCTTTGGGAGAAGCCAAGGCAGGAGAATCTTTTAGGCAGATGCTGAGGCCCCCATCTGTGCAAAAAAATTTTAGAAACTATTAGCCAGATATGGTGGCACACACCTATAGTCCCAGCTACTCAAGAGGCTGAGGTAGGAGGATGGCATGAGCCCAGGAGTTCGAGGCTACAGTGAGTTGTGATTACACCTGTCAGTAACCACTGCACTCCAGCCTGGGTGACCTAGTGAGATCCTGTCTCAACTAACTAAAGAAATAAAAAACACAAGGCTAAGGCATATGTCAAAATGGTTCCGTTTCCCTCTTCCTGGCAGCACAAGGGGACCTGTATCTGACAGTTACTTGTAGGACCTGGTAGAGCTTCTAGAGGTAAAACTCACAAAAGCCTAAGCCTGGGGGCCGGCCAATGGCTGGGTCCCTGTGGACTTTTTTTTTTTTACCCTCAGACTCATTCACTCTGAGCATCCCACAGTTCATCAGTTACAGTTCCGCCTTTCCTACCCTGATACTGGTTCCCACAGGCGTTTTTGCTCGGGTAAGTTGTGACCCTGTATTTTCCCGTTTGACTGATCTAAGAGGAGCTTGTGACTTCTCAGCCCCTTACAGGCTGCACTGGAAACTGGTGGTCTCTACCTATTTATTTTCACTCATTTCCTACGTAGAGCATTTCCTTTTAGTATGTGTGCGGTTATCAAGCCACCATAGTACTAGCAGTACCTGAGATGTTGTCACCAGAAGACATCAGATATCATCATGTCACGTTCTATCTCAATGTACTGTGTTTTTTGCTTTTTTCTAAGACAGGGTCTCAACTCTGTCACCCAAGCTGGAGGGCAGGGGCGTGATCATAGCTCACTGCAGCCTCGACCTCCTGGGCTCAATTGATCCTCCCATCTCAGCCTCCCAAAATGTTGGGATTGAAAAATATTCTGAAAAAGAGCCCATAAGCTTCCTCAGATTATGAAAGAGCTCTATGGCACAGAAAAGTTTAAAAACCCTTGTTCCATAGGGACAGTATGTGTGACTCAGAATAAGCTCATTCATAGCTTGCAGGCATGGCTAAGAGAAAGCTGATGTCTTGTGGAAAACATGTTCATTGTCCTGGCTCAGATGGGAGGCCACTACGGTCCCCTTACAAGAGTACTTCTCCAGTGTCTGCCATCATTAAGCCATTATTTGGCACCCCATGGAAACTCGGAGGCAGTCTCCCTGTGTCTCAGTCATCACCCAAGATTTTGGTCCCTTTGGTCTTCCATCCCGTGGCCCTTATCCAATTTTCTGTGTTCATTCTTATGCCTTCAACCCAGCATCCTCCAAAATCCCTGGAACTCTGCAGTATAGAAAAGAAGTCCTCAAACATCTTCAACCCACATGGAATTCTCTCCATCTGCCTGCTTCATTGAAACCTGGCTCCTTCCCAAAGACACAGCTTCCTTGTCCCTCAGCCTTTAGGGTTGGAAGGAGGGGTTAGCATTTTCCTCCCTGAACAATGGTATTTCCAAACTAACCTCCACCCACAGAGAGGAATGCTTCAGCTTTTGAACTCAAGCCATCTAACTGTATCACCATCTATACCTCTTCATTTGGTCACTGCTGGCTTTCTGATCACCAGTCCACACGTTCAATACTTTTAGCCCCCAGTCCTCTTGTCATTGTAGCAATGACATCAGTAACCACATGGATAATGCATCCAGCACTGGCTGCCACACTTGGCTTCAGCTACTTTCTCCTGTGGCTATCCCCACTGCTACGTCATCAGCTGGAACTATTTCCCCTTTGGACCACAACCTTCTAGAGGCAGTGCAGTATAGCGTGAAAAACTTTGGCTTTGATGCCTGGGTACGAATCCCAGCTTTGCCATGTACTAGCTAGGAGACCATAGACAAGTTACTCAATCATTCCATGCTTATAAGATGTGAATAACAGTAGTCCTATCCCAGAGAGTTGAGTTAATGTGCAAAATACAGAACACTGCTTGGCACACAGAGCTATTTATGCACTGGCTTCCATTACTATCCTTTCTGATTGCTCGTGCCTTCACTTCTTTGGTTCCTTGAACTCCTCCCACCCTCTTTTTCCCTCCAAAAGTAACTATTGTAACTATTTACTCCTGTCTTGTGCCTCCTTCCCTATCCAGCCACACTGTCTCCTATATAATGCCTGCTTAATAGACATTTGTATCATGGGTGAATGAATCAAGGATCCATAACCTCACCTGCGTTCTGGTCCATAGCCCCAATCCCCTTGCCTTCTTGTCTTTTAAATAAACACACACAATAAATATGCCAACCCCAGATCTAACTCTAGCTCCACTATCTTCTCTCCTCCTATCTCTGAGAGGTTGGCTGCATCCACTACAAATTCAGAATCTCCAGCCTCAATTCTGCCCAGCCTTTACGTGCCTCAAGTCAGCTCTCTTTCCCAGTCTTTACAACAGTGACTTTTAGCCTTTAACGCTTTCCTATCACTTCCGCATTCGCCCTTATCAATGACCTTGCTTCCTACTTTATAAATCTAGTGTTTCCAGGCCAGTGGACAAGGTGTCCTTCTGAGTAAGGTAAATTCCTACTCCCGTGTTCCAACTTCTGTCCAGTCCATCAGACCTGAAGCTTTTAAGCTGCACGAGAAGAAATCTTTCTTTATATTTTATAATAACTGTTAGTAGAGGCTGGGTGCAGTGGCTCACGCCTGTAGTCCCGGCACTTTGGGAAGCCAAGGCAGGCAGATCTCAAGAGTTTGAGACCATCCTGGGCAACATGGTACAAACCCATCTCTACTGAAAATACAAAAATTAGCTAGGCATAGTGGCATGCACCTGTAGTCCCAGCTACTTGGGAGGCTGAGGGGGGATGATCGTGGCACTGCACTCTGGCCTGAGTGACAGAGCCAGATGCTGTCTCAAGAAAATAAATGTTGGTAGTATTCAACAGATGGTAGGAGCGGATCAATTCTGTCCAGATGAGATACCCTGGGAAAGCGGATCAATTCTGTCCAGATGAGATACCCTGGGAAGGCCAACCTCACATGGGGATTATGCAGAAAAATTGCTTGATATGACATATTCTGATCAAATAGTAGTAATTACCCAAAAGGGTAATGAAATCAAGGCCTGGCCAATCTCTTTAAGAGTCAGAGTAACAACAACAACGACAACAAAACCCTCTTCTTACAGCCAATGATTTAATAAAAATTTCAACCATTTTGCTAATTCACTTGGCTAATTCTAAGAATTTTCTGAATTTCAAGATTGTTAGCTATGGGAATAGTTCAAAGGTCGGAGGCCTTTAAAAATAGCATTGACCTGGTCAAGATGGATTAAATGCCCATTCTAGGGCCTTAACCCATTCTAATTCCACTTCTGTGTTAATATATCTGACCTAAATGTCTAAAAACATACTGTTTTTTTTCTGAGAAAGTGCAGAACCCCATTGGTGGATGTTTTTACATAGAAAAGAAAACAGCTTAAAATATATCAGACTATTTCAGTTACAGAAGCAACAACCCAAAAAGAAAAAGAAGGCATCTGGAGAAAGAATCATTGAAATTGTTTTTTTTTTTTTTTTTTTTCCCTGAACCAAACTCCAGTTTACTGTTTTTCCTGGGAATGTGATTTTATAGTTGGGAAGTGAGATGTTGGCATGGTGGCTGACATTTCAAGTATATTATTGGTGCACAAGAGAATACAATGAAAAGATCAGCAAGAACCTCAAAGTCTATGGCCTCTTGAGAGTTATATTAGGAATGGATGAGCTTAGATGTCTACAGAAGTCACCTTAAGGGTTAGGGTGGTTCCCTAGTCAAAGGAAGAAAATCAGGGAGGCCTGAAGTATAGTAGAAATAAGATAGGATCCGGGGTCAGATACCCAAGTTTGAATCTTAACCACTAATTAGTTCCATGACTGTCCAATCATAACCTTGTAGAGCCTTACCTTACAGAATAATCGTATTTACTTCCTATACTGGTGGTACCGAGCAAGAAGCTAAGTAATAAGTCAATCATACGTAAGAGGTAGGCAATTTACCCTTCTCCCTTGCCTTCTGCACATAAATTTAAATGAGGCAGAATTAAGTGAGAAAGAGCCTATAGCCTAACCCTCCATGTTCCAAGTTCTGCAGAAGAAAACTGATCAACAGGGAAGAACCTGACAAGATGCTGGGAAGGGGATCTGTGGACTTGACAAGGCTTACCCAGCACTGTCCAGGGACAGGAAAGGGAGGCACTGAATTTAGATCCCTGAGTAGGAATTGCTGATCTTTGCACTTGTGATACTCTGTGGGTGTGGTCAGACATGTATGAACCAGAGCGACTCCATTTTGTGTAGAGGCTGGGTAATATAAGGCTGAGACCTACTGGGCTGCATTCCCAGACAATTCAGGCATTCTAAGTCACAGGATGAGATACGAGGTCAGCCCAAGATAAAGGTCATAAAGACTTTGCTGATAAAACAGGTTGCAGTAAACAAGCGGCTAAAACCAACGTGGTGACGAGAGTGTCCTCTGGTGGTCCTCACTGCTACACTCCCACCAGTGCCATGACAGTTTAGAAATGCCAAGGCCACATCAGGAAGTTACTGTATATTGTCTAAAAAGGGGAGGCATAAGTAATCCACCCCTTGTTTAGCATATTACAAAGAAGTAACCATAAAAATGGGCAACCAGCAGCTCCCAGGGCTGCTCTGTCTATGGAGAAGCCATTCTTTTATTCTTGTACTTTCTTTCATTTTACTCCATGGCCTCGCCTTGAATTCTTTCTTGCAGAAGATCCAAGAACCCTCTCTTGGGGTCTGGATCAGGACCCCTTTCTGGTAACAGGTGGGCTTCAGAGGGCTATGTGCACATCTTGGCACTGAATACAAATGTTGCATGTATATTAATGTACTTATCTGGGAGAGGATTCATCACCAGACTCTCAGAGGAGTCTGTGACCAAGAAAAGATTAAGATGACTGCACCAGATGCTGAAGGGAAGCTAAGACATACTAAATTACAGGAGCCCATGAGTCTGAGGTTGAGTTCCTACATAACTTAGTATAAAAACAAACTGGGTTGGGAAACCACTGATCTAGCCAAGTTAGTCTCCAAAATATGCCGCTTTGGCATAAGGATTATTTCTAGCTGGTTATTTTGAGACCCCTTTGTAATAGAAAATTCCATCTATTAAGGAAGGAGATCTCCATTTGTAAGAGTGCCTTCCTCTCTGCACCAGGAATAGGAGGAGGACTAAGTAACTAAAGAATGGAGACGGCCTTGAATCATCTACTTCAAAAGTCTTACCTTTGTTGAAGGCGGTTTTCCTGACCATCTTCTTAAATGGGCCTTTACCTATACCCTTCTTTCTTTCTTTAGGTAAATGATAGTAATTAAGCCAGAAGTCTATGCTCTATGCCTTTGAGATGTCCATTTTCTCTCTTGTTTTCTCTAGAACCTTACAGCTAGCCCTTTGACATGGAAATTTTAAGGGAGATGACTCATCAGAAGAAAAATGACATTTGGGCAAATGAAAATTCTTGTCTTTTCCACAAATATTACTAAAAAGCTTTGCTACCAGAGCAAGTAATCTTAACTTCTTCCATCTGCCAGAAACATAATTGGAATTCAGCTATTCTGTAAAGTAGTAAATTTTGTGGGTTTTGTATCTGGTACTGATACAGGAGCTAAAAAGAAATTTAGGCAGTTGGTGAGGGTAAAAGTCGTCGGCAAAGTTTCCCTTTTAATAAAAAGCAGCTCCAAAGTCATTTCTTTTCTAAGAAAGAACAGTCTGCAAAATGAAGCTACAGACATAGAAAAGCAAGCTGGAAGCTTGCACGGGTGAATGCTGGCAGCTGTGCCAATAGGAAGAGGCTACCTGGGGGTGAGTCATGTTCAACATGGACGCCCTATCTTCCCTTTTCTTTGTCAACCACATGTACAGTAATGAAGCAGGCAACATGGCACCGGCCAGGTAGAGACCCCATCTGCATAATAAAAGATTAGGGTGGGGTGGCCAGCTTCTTCACCTGCTATGCAAGTGGCACACCTGGTCCTACCAATCTTTTGTCCCCTGTGTAAATCAGACACTGCCTCCTCAAGCTCTTCTATAAAACCCCATGCATTTCACCACAGAATCAGATGACCCACTTGGGAGCCCCCCTCTCTCCAAAGGAGAGAGAGCTTTTCTCTTTCTCTCGCCTATTCAACCTTGGCTCTTAAACTCACTCCTTGTGTGTCCTCGTCCTTGATCTCCTTGGTGTGAGGCAAAGAACGTGGGGTATTACCGCAGATGAATGACGCCATTTCAGTACATGCCTAAATTTTAAAATGAAACCTACAACAGAGGGCTCTGTCTTTATGTTTATTTCTCTCTGTAGGTACGTATGTGTGATTTTTTTCTATCTTCAGATGGTATTACCAAAATTAAGTTATAAAAGAGCTTTATTTAATTGGCTTAAGCGCTTATATAAATTAAGTACTCCTTAAACTCTTAGGAAAAAAATGAATCCAAAATACCTTCCAAGTTTATGTGTTCTAGGATAATCTTTGGTTAAAGTTTGTCAGTTTAATGAAAATAGAGTGGTCAGCATTAGATAGTAAACCAAAAAATACAATTCTAAGCACCCCCCCGCAAACGACTACATGGAACCCCCATCTTGGCCAAGGGAACCCCGAAGAAATGTGAAAAACTAGTTTAGGCCATGATGGTGATGAGGTAGCTAAAAAGAAATTATTTAGGCAGTTAGTGAGGGTATGAGAATCCTCGGTAAGGTTTCCCTTTTAACAAAAAGCAGCCTGAAAAATCAAGCTGCAAACACAAGCTTGCATAGGCAAATGCCAGCAGCTATGCCAATAGAAAAGGGATACTTGGAAGCCAGGTATATTCAACATGGAGGTTCCCTCCTCCCTTTTCTTTGTCGCCACATGTGCAGTAGAAAGGCAGGCAACATGGCGCTGCCCAGGTAGAAACCCCATCTGCATAACAACAGATTAGGGTGGGATGGCCAGCCTCTTTGTGTACTATGTAAATGGCACACCTGGTCTGACCAGTCTTCTGGGCCCTATGTAAATCAGACACCGCCTCCCCAAGCTTGTCTATAAAACTCTGTGCATTTCGCCACAGATGAGACGACCCACTTGGAAGACCCTCTCTCTCTGCAGGAAGAGAGTTTTTCTCTTTCTCTCTATTAAACCTCTTCTCTTAAGCTCACTTGTTATGTGTCCACATCCTTGATTTCCTTGGCATGAGATGACGAATCTTGGGTATTTACCCCAGACAACGTTGCTGCTACAATGGGAAGGGACAGGTTCCACTGGCCTCATTTCACCCTCCTCCCTTAAGAGTTGACATACAACCGACCAGTGTTAACATTAAAACAGGGATCTTAAGACTGACAAAGCAGAGTCTTTGTAGCAGTAAGATACCAAAGTGACTCCAGTAGAGTACCACATGACAGATAACAGGCCCTGAAGGAAATTATTTTACCCCAAAATATATTTCTTTGACATATTCCAAAATGGCCCTACAAAGCTCTCTCTCATGGGGGAAACTTGTGTTCCATTGAGAATCTCCTTCCCTTACTAGAGTCTGATACATTTTAGGGTCCAAGAAGACATTCACCATCCATTCTCTCTGACGCCTGCTACCTGGAGGCTTCATCTACGTGACAAGAACCTTGGCTTCCACAACCCCCTTCTCTAAACACAAGCGTTTTTTAATGCTGAATTCAATTCTTCAGGCAGAGCTTAACTCTTTCAACCAACTGCCAATCAGGAAATGTTTGAATCTGCCTCTGACCTGGAAGCCCCTGCTTTGAGATGTCCTGCTTTCCTGGGCCGAATCAATGTATTCATTTCATCTATTGATTTATGTCTTTGCCTGCAATGTCTGTCTCCTTAAAATGTATAAACCAAGCTGTAAACCACCCACTTTGGGCACATGTTCTCAAGACTTCCTGGGGCCATATAATGGGCCATGGTTCTTAACTTAGGCAAAATAAACCTATAAATTGATTGAAACCTGTCTCAGACACTTTCCAGTTTAGAAATATAATACAGACTCATAACTTTTCCTACCTATGTTTACTAGTAAAATAAGCTCATGTTACCTCTGTAGTACAAAATTTGTTAGCAAGAAAAATAACTTAAGGTGACGGATACTTAATGTCTCATTGTCATGAGCAATCCAAGTATAATTGTTAAGAACAATGAATTAGATGTAGGAAAAATATTCCCATGGGAAAGGGGTCTTCCCTATACTAGAAGGTTTTAATATTCTTACCAAGGATGGAAGTTCAGGCTGAGGAAAATGTGTACAAACAACAATTTCATTCTCAGGCCTAGCCAAAAATTCTAATAAGGATAGAGATACAACTTTCCCTCCCCTATAGCTTTTTATTAGAGACTAAAGATAGCTGAATCTGTTAGTAAACATGTTCTGTGTCACAATGAAAAAAATTATTCTATGAGGAAGCACATGCTTCTAGAAATTATGATTCATAAATTTGTCAATCTACAGACAGCTAGTGTAATAGGGTTCACAACTGCTTGCTTCCTTTCACTGGAAATTAAGATGATTTAGTATATAACTAAAATTACCAGAAATAATACGGGAAACAACTCTATATGCAAGCATACAAAATAAGTAAGATGAATTTTCAGAAAATCTATAAGGTAGGAGAATGTGTTTTGTTAAAGGCAAAAAGAGAATAATTTTTGTCCTAAAATAGAATGGCATTGTTCCACAGTGAGAAAAAAAGTATAGGGAAAAAAAAAACCCCGAATGGATATAAGAAAACTGTAGGATGCTTGTAAAAGTAGAATCATGGGAAAGGAATTATATGTGTGATCAAATTCCTAATATTTGCTAATATTTGAAGGGAATTAAGTTGCTTTTAAATTCTAACATTAATATCAAAAGTACGCTGATACAAAACTAGAATGTGGTCCTCTGTGTTAAAACAGCAAGGTTTTCTTGGAGTTCTAGTCTGCTCTTAATAAGATAGGGTAAAAGGTTTTTCTTTACCTTTTAAGTAATTGGTCTAGGAAATAAAGACTGTTTTATCAAGATAATTTCCCGTGCTTCATGTTGTCTTTGCTCTTCGATTAAGAAAATGGAATCATTTCTAGTAAAAAGAACTAAGGTTTTTCTATAACTATGTTCAAGTTATTTAAGATA
Source organism: Homo sapiens (assembly GCF_000001405.40). Classification (NCBI taxonomy): domain Eukaryota; kingdom Metazoa; phylum Chordata; class Mammalia; order Primates; family Hominidae; genus Homo; species Homo sapiens. Next base: position 12,945,830 of record NC_000010.11, read on the forward strand.
ACAAGGTTGCCTTTGACTATCTGTTGGCTGAATGGGGTGCAGTGTGTGTGTGATAGCTAACACCTTCTGCTGCACTTAGATAACAAACAGGCAACTTGGTTAAAACAAGTAGATTCTTCTGCCTAATTCTTTGGTTTAGTTGGTTGTAATTGGTTTGGTTCATGGGTGCATTGGTTAAGGAGCATATTTCAGTCTGTTAGTACTATCCTCCTGATACGTCATCATAGTAGTATCTCTAGGGCACTGTATTCTCTCAAGAGTCTTAAATGCGGCCACCCATTCTGCCCCAAATGGCCTCACTCCATTTATAGCAGCAAAACCACAAAGGGAACATAACAAGTCATTCAACAGACTTGATGTCATGGCTTGTGAATTCCATACTGAAACCAAACATGTCCACTATGATAGTGACTGACAGGCAATAGCATCAGTGTCTAAGGCTGCGTCAATGTCTGAGCATCAGTGTCAATCTTGAGAGGCTGACCAAAAAGGGGAAATTGTTCAACTAGCAGAGGCTGTCTCTGTACTGTGAGTTTCTACATAACAAACTGCACCTTAATTTATTAGTATGTAAACAAACTGAAAACTAACTAACTTAGGAGTATTTTTTTTTGGTAACAAATAGCCAGGTCTCAGCAAATCCTAGGCAGCCAACTGATCCGATCATGCCCAATAAGACAAATGCCCAACTGTGGCTAATCAGGTCATTTCTCTACTTTGCTTCCTGTTCGGCCTAGAGCAGCTCATGGTTCACACTACTAAGCAGAGCTCTCTGAACCTATTCTGGTTCTGAGTGGTGCCCGATTCATGAACTGTTCTTTGCTCACATTCTGTTAAATTTAATTTATCTACAGTTTTTCACAGGTATTGTATTTCACCATGCCCTAAGACTCAAAAACTCCATTTGCTATTGTAGCAGGAAAAGGTGTTCTTTCTTCATTCTGTCTTCTGCCTTTTCCCTCCTTTAATCAACATGCATTTTCCCTCCTATTTGGGAATTATTACCTTATTTGGTAATCATCTCATCCTGTACTACCTCAAAATTATACTTTCCTAAAGATCCTGTCACTACATTCAGCCCCCTCCGCCACTAGCATAAGGGAGGATGGAAGCCAAGAAGAAATAGAAAACCGAACGGAAAAGCAAAAGACAGAGGCCAGCTCTCTTATTGCTGGTTTTCCTTTTTTGTTTCTATCTCCACAGTTTATTTTCGGTCAAAAATTCTGCCACCCACAGCTCTGTCTCCTTAGTTTTTTGGAGTGCCTGATGTAGTTTCAAAGTAATGTAACATTCCCATTCTCATCTTTTGCTCACTTTTTTTTTTTTTTGTTTTTTGGAGACAGGGTCTTGCTTGGTAGCCCAGGCTGGAGTGCAGTGGCATGATCTTGGCTCACAGGAACTTCTGCCTCCCAGGTTCAAGTGATTCTCCTGCCTCAGCCTCCCAAGTAGCTGAGATTACAGGCGCCCACCACCACACCTGGCTAATTTTTGTATTTTCAGTGGAGACATGGTTTCACCATGTTGGCCAGGCTGGTCTGGAACTCCTGACCTCCAGTGATCTGCCTGCCTTGGCCTCCCAAAGTGCTGAGATTACAGGCGTGGGTCACCACACCTGGCCTGTTCACTTCTATACAACAAATATTTCATGAGCTTCCACCATGTGCCAGAGTGTTGGGTGCTAAAAATACATGAGGCACTGATAAAATGGCCTGTGACTTTGTCACCTCAGCTACAGGCCACCCTATATGGTGTTTTATATTTTCAAGTAGATTATACACTCCCTGTGGACGGGAATCTAGATCTTCTAATTATTTTGAGCCAGGCAACAGGAGCTGGACAAACAGGAGATACTCAGTACCTGACTGAGTAGAATACATTGCTAAGAGTTGGGCTTAGCAGTAACTAATAAATTGATAATTAAGTGCCTCTTGTATGAAGAGATGAGTTAGAGGAGAGCAGTGGATTGACTTCCTTTAAGTCCTTACCAACGGGTCAGGTATTGTGCTAAGCACGGCCTCCTGACAATCCTGTGGTGTGCCTGCTCTTATTAGCATTGTCCCTCAGCTCATAGATGGGAGAAACAGAGGCTCAGAAGACAGACCCAAGATGTCTCACCTATTAAGTGAAATTGGAAGACCCAAGCTTTGAACACATGCAGCCTGACTCCAGAGCCCAGCTCTTGGTCGGTGATACAGTTTGACTCTGTGTCCCCACCCAAATCTCACCTTGAATTGTAATAATCCCCATGGGTTGTGGCAGGTAACTGAATCATGGGGTCAGGTTTTTTCCATGCTGTTCTCATTATATAAGTCCCACGAGATCTGATGGTTTTATAAAGGGCAGTTCCCCTGCACACACTCTCTTGCCTGCCACCACATAAGATGTGCCTTTGCTCTTCCTTCGCCTTCCACCATAATTGTGAGGCCTCCCCAGCCACATGGAACTGTGAGTCCATTAAACCTCTTTCCTTCATAAATTACCCAGTTTTAGGTATGTCTTTATTAGCAGCATGAGAACAGACTAATACAGCCCATATACTAAACTGACTCAGGATATGGAGGAGACCAGGGCCTCTCTCTCAGGCATGTGTGATATCATGGTGAAGAGTTTGATGTGGCTAAAGGCAGGCAGACAATTGCACACACACACACACACACACACACACGGGAGGGGCCACCTTCAGCTCCAGAACCCCGTGTGTTTTCTCTACCTTTGGGACTTTTCCTAGAGTTGAAAAAGTGTATCTCTTTCTTCAACTCTAATGTGAGAGTCATTGTCAAATAGAGTTTGCCCTTCTTTAGACCACTGGTCCAACACCTTAAATTACTAGAAGCGCTAAATTTGGTGACCAACTGAAGACGAAAAGGGGTAAAAATTTAAGTCCTCATTTTTAAGGCAGTTTTTTTTTTTTTTTTTTTTTTGAGACAGAGTCTTGCTCTTTTGCCCAGGCTGGACTGCAGTGGCCTATCTCGGCTCACTGCAAGCTCCACCTCCCGGGTTCACGCCATTCTCCTGCCTCAGCCTCCCGAGTAGCTGGGACTACAGGCGCCCACCACCATGCCCGGCTAATTTTTTGTATTTTTAGTACAGACAGGGTTTTACCGTGTTAGCCAGGATGGTCTTGATCTCCTGACCTCGTGATCCACCCGCCTCGGCCTCCCAAAGTGCTGGGAGGCAATTCTTTTATATCTCATGACATTATGGGGATACCTACATAATGTCCTCAGTAGCTGGGCCATGAGTGAACTGCAACATCACAATTTTGGGGGCTCCTGGGAGCAAACACTGCTGGTTAGCTAAATAGCAGAAGAGCCAGACACAACTGCCAGTGTTCCCCTTGTTTCCTCCTTAGTAAAAGCTGCTAAGAGAACTCTGTAACTGGGCACATGGCTGCCGGGAATAAAGACCACATATCCCAGCCTGCCTTGAACCGGGTGTGGCCACATGAGTAAGTTTTGGCTATGGGATATAAGCAGAAGTGGTGTGCACAGCTTCAGTGAAGTGCTTCATAAAGGGAAAAAGCATGTCCTTCTCTTACTCTTTTTTCCTTCCTGTTGGCTGGAATGCAGACGTGATATGGCTGGAGCTGCCATCTTGGACCAGGAGTTGAACTTAGCCACGGAGGCCATGCTCAGTGGAGCCACCCGATGGAGGGATCTGACACTGTGGAGTTCCATTCCAGCCTGGACTTCACACAAGAGAAATAAACATCTACCTGAGCCAGTATTACTAGGGTTTTCCAATACTGAAGCTGAGCTGAATCCTAAAGAATACACACTACTTTCCCCAACAAGATACATAACTGCCTTGCTTGCTGAGAAAAAAATTATAATCGCAGGTTCACTTTCCTAAATCAATGTAAGTAATAGCCTGGCCTGGCTCTTTTCAGGAGATCCTATCAGATCCTGAAGCAAAAGACTATTCCAGTCTTAATACCAGTATATCTGGGTTTTCTGCCCAGAGGAAAGTGCAATCATGACTTCTAAGGAAGCAAATGGTAATGGGTGCAGAGACTGTCAAGAAATTAGGTGGTGAAATCAGGCTGAGGTCATCTCATCTAATGTATATTTGGTGACCGTGTAGACCCAGAGATACACACTTCAAAGCAGCCATGTGGTATCCATATCTGTGTGCCTACTTTGGGTTCACACACCTGTGTTCTCTCCTAGTTGGTGCCACCTGTCACATCCAAGCCCATCATCACCTCCTGTGCTCATCTCTGCTGTCTCTTCTCCATGCCTTCACTCTGGCCATGCCCCCAGCCTCCCATTCCCTTTCCTGCATCTACTGTTCTCTCTCCTTGTAAAAGCTTTCCTTGCCCAATCCAGACCACATGGGTCCTTTTCTTGTCCCATCTCCTATAGAAGCTGTTACCAGTGCCCTGACTAACCCAAGGCCTTCCTCTGCCTGCTGGAGCTTAATAATTATTGAATGCATGAATAACTACACATGACAAATAAGGCCTCAGGTGTAAGAGTTCAAGCTAACAGGAAATGCTCTCCAAAGCACCCTCCGGAAAGCAGTTTTAAGAGAAAGAGATTCAACCTAAATGGTCAGGAGGATGCTCTTCCCAGGGGTTTGTTTCAATTAAAAATACAGGCATCTGCTGGGATTAAAAAGCAACAATCTAAAGAATTCATCCACCACCCCATCAGATTCTAGCCATTAAGACTGAGATCAGTTCAGATGCAAAGAGCAGAACGAGGCAAATTGTTCTCTACTGAAACAACATGAAATGCTTTCATACTTTGGGGTTGGTGACCCTAAAAACCTTGCACTTGGTTATCATTTTTTTCTCCTTATCCTGGACTTTGACTTCCTCTCCTGTATACTGTTAGAACACAGAAGGCAAATGCAAACATTTCTACAGTTCCTGACTCCTCGCCCATGTCAGAAACCCTTAGAAGCACCCACATACCACACAAGCTCAGACCTGTGGGCTTCTCTAGAGAAAGGCGTCATGACACAATCACATATTCAGCACTGACAGACTCTGTGAGGAAGATATGGGGGGCTTGGGGGTGGCTGCTCCCCCACCACACCTGACTCCATTTAATGCCCAACTGGAGTAATCATGACAGGTCAGCCTAGGTCACCTTGAGAGGGGCTGAGTCTGCAGTAGGGTGCGTCTGTCTGGCCTTCCTCGATAACACGAAGGTTGAGCTTTCTCTGGCTCACTCTGCACAGTAGCTTGGGTTAGAAAAGGCCAAGCAGGAGCTGAGGCAATCAATCAGAAAGTATTCAGTGAGCACTGTGAGAAATAAAAAGTTTAGGCCAAGCACAGTGGCTCATGCCTGTAATTCAAGCACTTTGGAAGGAATACTCGAGTCCAGGACTTCAAGACCAACCTGGGAAACATAGTGAGACTCTCATCTCTACAAAAATAATTTTTTTTAATTAGCTGGACATGGTGGTGTGCACCTGTAGTCCCAGGTACTCGGGAGGCTGAAGCAGTAGGCCAAGCTAGAGAGAGCTGTGATTGCACCACTGCACTCCAGCCTGGGTGACAAAGTGAGACTGTCTCAAAAAAAAGTTTAAAACCCATTTAAGGAATGTTTGACCTAATGCGATGGCTCCTAATCTACAGGGCATGATCCATTAGCAGTGGGCTGTGAAATCCATCCGGGGGTCTCTACCAGCATCTGTAAATAAAGCAGGGTGGACAGGAAGTATCAGGCATCATTTATGCAGTTTTGTGACACTCTGTGGCTCACGCCTGTAATCCCAGCACTTTGGGAGGCTGAGACGGGTGGATCACAAGGTCAGGAGATGGAGACCATCCTGGCTAACACAGTGAAACCCCGTCTCTAACTAAAATACAAAAAATTAGCTGGGTGTGATGGCATGCGCCTGTAGTCCCAGTTACTCAGGAGGCTGAGGCAGGAGAATCACTTGAACCTGGGAGGCGGAGGTTGCAGTAAGCTGAGACTGAGCCACAATACTCCAGCCTGGACAACAGAGTGAGACTTCATCTCAAAAAAAAAAAAAAAAAAAAAAAGTTGTTCTTTGTGTGGGCTACAGCCCAGAGCACATGGAAGCCACTGATTTCATACACAGTGGAGAGGGATCGCTGGTGTTTTTGTAAGAACTCCTCTTTTTATGTCTCTTGTGCATTCACCTTCCAAGAAACTCAGTCCCTGTCTGTACCATGTCTAGTACAACCTTCTGGTATCTTCACCATAGGCCACGAGTATACCCTTTGGACAGATAAGGAAATAAAGGTACAGAATAGAAATGACTTCTAGCCACTTCTAGCCGCCTAGAGAACATAGCCAAACTGATCGTGCCCAAATCAGGTGAGACCAAGAAACAGGCTCATGTGGTTCTCCCCAGACCATGAACATATTATCTAGCAGGCACCAGATAGAATGTGACCTCAGGAGGGAGAAGGTTTTGTTGGTTCACTGCTCCATCCTCAGTTCTTAGGATAGTTCCTGGCACAAAGTAGGCCCTCAATAAATATTAGCTCAGCAAATCATTATGACTTGATGATAGAATGAATTAGGACAATCCCCAAACTCAAAAATAATCTTTTACGGTCATGGACCATGTATTGAACCCAACAAAGAAATCATGTTTCATTGAGGTGCAAATGAATATACTCAGGTAGACTGAGAGAACAAAACAGAACCCAGAATGTATTTCTCTCCAGCTTGAAATGTTTTGATGGCATTCCATCATCTAGAATAACTCCCAGACTAGCCCATGATGTGTCTTCACAGCCGAGTTCCCCTCTTACTTTCCAGTGGCAACTTCCTCCTCCTTGCCCCATTTTGAACTTCATCCTTTGGCATTGATGAACGAATCCGAATTCTCCAGGTGCATGTGGCTATTTTATGACTTGGTGACACTGCAAATTCAGTGTTCTCTGCCTGAGATTCCAGTCATTTTGGGAGCCCAGCAATTTATCACCATCCTCCTTCAAGCCCCAGGCCAGGTGTGACCTCAAAGCCTTCCCTCACCACATGCCCTTAACCTCAACCTCTGCTGAGTAAATGAAGTTCTCATCCAGGTTACCACTGTACCATGTGCACATCCATGGGTTTATTTCTATCATCCTCTTGCAGTTCATCTGGTTAGATGTTTTACTCTGCTTTCCTTCAGATTTTGAGCTTCTTGAGGGCTACAGTTGATCTTATTCAAAGAATATCAAAGGAAGGAAGGGAGGGAGGGGTAATCCACACAGTCCTGTTGGACCCCGTATTAGGCCGTTTTCACACTGCTGATAAAGACGTACCCGAGACTGGGTAATTTATACAGGAAAAAAAAAGTTTAATGGACTTACAGTTCCACACAGCTGGGGAGGCCTCACAATCATGGTAGAAGGCAAGGAGGAGCAAGTCACATCTTACAAGGATGGCAGCAGGCAAAGAGCTTGTGCAGGGAAACTCCCATTTTTAAAACTATCAGATCTCATGAGACTTATTCACTGTCATGAAAACAGCACGGGAAAGACCTGACCCCGTGATTCAATCACCTCCCACCAGGTCCCTCTCACAACACACGGGAATTCAAGATAAGATTTGGGTGGGGACACAGCCAAACCCTATCAGACCCCCTCCCGCTCCACTAGCTCATGTCTTTATATCCCCAATACTACATCTGTAGGGATATACTGAGGAAATTAAACAAGATTAAAATACAGAGAGAATACAGGTACGATTAGAAGCAAAAGGAAAACAGAAGATCTGTGGTTGATTGTGTTTGAACAGGCATGCCACGGAGAAGTTATTAGCCTACTGCTCAGACACACACTGTTTAAACATGGGCAGAGTTTTCTCTGCTGTGAGTCTTACTGCTGCCTTGCTGGGGGACCACGAGCTGGGAGGACAGCTTGCTCAGCTCTACCCTGTGGAGCTGTGACTTCAGAAGAGCCACAGGGGGCCTCGAGGCACTCGGCCCCAGGCAATGCTCAGAAGCCTTGATCACAGAAGAAAAAAAACCTTTTGTGTAGGGAGAAGAAGAGAACAACATAAGTCTTTGGAAGCTAGACTTCCAAAGTGTCTAGAACAGGCACTGGCAAACTTTTTCAGTAAAGGCCGGATAATAAATATTTCAGCTTTGTGGGCCATCCCATTTCTGTTGCAACTACTCAACCATGACTCTGTAGCACAAAGGCAGCCACTGACAAGGACAATTAGTAAACAACTGAGCATGGCTGTGATCCAAAAACACCTTATTTACAGCCATCAATTTGAATTTCATACATTTTAATGCACAAAATATTCATTTTAACTACTAAAAAATTTTAAAAAGCACACTTAACTCAGAGGCCACACAAAAACAGGTACCAGGCCAGATTTAACTAGTTGATCAGATGTAGCTACAGGCTATAGTCTACTGGCCTCTGATCTAGTGAGGAGAAATTATGCTATGCAATGTCTACAAGTCACTCAGAAAATCAATACTCTAGTAGTTTACCCAGAATGCCCATTATCTGTCCTATCCCAAATTACTGGCTTGGCTATATTGAATTGAAACAAAGTGTTCATAAAAGACATTCAACTCAAATAGTTTTGATTTGGAATGATCCTGAATTTTCTTTCCATGATGTAGATTATCAAATTACGTCTTTGTCCATTTGTGTTGGTATAAAGGAACATCTGATGCTGGGTAACTCATAAAGAAAAGAGGTTTATTTGGCTCACAATTCTGCAGGCTGTACAAGAAGCATGGCGCCAGCATCTACTTCTGGTAGGGGCTCAGGAAGCTTCCACTCATGGTGGAAGGTGAAGGGAAGCTGGCATCACATGGTGAGAGAGAAAGCAAGAGAGAAGGGAGGCACCAGGCTCTTTTTAATAACCAGCTTTCATAGGAACTTACAGAGTGAAAACTCATTCATTCCCACGGAGATGGCACCAAGCCATTGACAAGGGATCCACCCCCATGACCCAAACACCTTCCATTAGGCGGCACCTCCAACGTCGGGGATCAAATTTCAACATGGAATTTGGAGGGGACAAACCAAACTATGGCAAATGGGATATAACACATATTTTATAAAATATGAGCCCAGTTATAATCCAATGATTCAAAATGACTTATCCTTGAAAACATAAGGGACTCAGACAGTCATGATAGTTGTGAAACCCATAGGACTGCCATAATAGCCTTGCAAATACCCATCACCATCTGCCTGTCCATTTTTAGAATGTGTACTGTCCCACCTAGACATTACCAGTTGTCATTCACAGCCTAGCACTTCACACGATCATCACACACCACCCACAAGAACAAACTGTTCAAGTTTTTGTCATGAATAATCATTTATTTTTAAAATGCTTAGAACAATCCTATTGTTCAGATGTGTCTGGCATTTAGATTCCTTGGTATACCCAGTGAAGTGATGAATCACACAAAATTGTTTACTTCCATTTCCTTAAAGAAGTAAAGATCCCTTTAAATAGCAAGCTCTCCTAAGGTAACTGAAACAATGTAATTAACTTTTCAAGGACATATCTAACTTGGGCAACCTGTAGTCTTTTGCTTAAGAAGACTCTACTACTCACTCTCCAATTAGGATTCCACTCCTGATCCTACTCCAACACTTTAGAGTCTCATTCCTGTGTGAAAATACAGCCTTTCTTAGGCAAATTCAAGTCATTTCCAGGCCTGCCCACAGTTATTATGGGGCAAGGTGTTGGGATAGAGGAAAGGGAGGCAAATTCCAACTCAGACCCAGGGATCATCTAGTTTGTAGCCAAACCCAGGTTCAGTAACTTCATATTTTTTTTTCTTTGAGAGACAGGGTCTTGATCTATCACCCAGGCTGGAGTACACTGGTGAGATCACAGCTCACTGCAGCCTCAACCTCCTGTGCTCAGGTGATCCTCCCACCTCAGCCTCCCAAGTGGCTGGTATTATAGGTGTGTGCCACCATGCCCAGCTAATTTTTGTGTTTGTTTTTTGTTGTTTATTTATTTTATTTTTTGAGACAGAGTCTCACTCTGTCACCCAGGCTGGAGTGCAGTGGTGCGATCTCAGCTCACTGCAACCTCAGCCTCCCAAGTAACTGGGATTACAAGCATGTGCCACCTGCCTGGCTAATTTTATATTTTTAGTAGAGATGGGTTTCACCATGTTGGCAAGGCTGGCCTCAAACGCCTGACCTCAAGTGACCTGCCTGCCTCAGCCTCCCAAAGTGCTGGGATTACAGATGTCAGCCACAGTGCCCAGCCCTAAATAATTTTTTAAGAGATAAGATCTCACTATGTTGCCCAGGCTGGTCTTGAACTCCTGGGCTCAGGTGATCCTCCCTCCCACCTCGGCCTCCCAAAATGCTGGGATTACAGGCATGAGCCACAGCGCCCAGCCACTTCACTCTTGTTTCAGTGACTTGTGACCACTGGGTTGCAATCTTGCCAAACCACCAACCCTACCCCAGCCCAAGAAGAAATGAAAAGTTTCTTATCCCATCATTCTATGTCTTTTCAAAGTAGGCTGGACTGTCCCTGAGGGAGCTAGGCCAATTACACTCTTCAGACCAATCTTCCTCTACCTAGCATTCCTATGGAGCAGGAAAATGGTCTAGATGAAGGTCAGGGTCCTCTTTCTGTCATGGCTGCCGTGTCCCTGTCAGCACAGAGACCCAGCCATAAACCTAATGGCTGCTCCCTGCTCCCTTCTTCCTACCCATGGGACCTCGATTTTGTTCACCCTCCTCATGGTATTGTGCCAAGAGAGGCCTTCCCCATCTCCAGGGGATGAAGCTTAATGAGTCTAGACTATATGATAATTAGGGAAACTGCATTTCTTTTGCCTGGAGCTTCTGTTGGCTTGGTTTATCCCGGGCAGGTAATGTAATCTGGCCAAAAGAATCACAAAGACTCTCTCCTGGACTAAACTTTAGTCAAGCTCCTCTGAGCCCTCTTCTTAGCTAGGTCTCAGCCTTGGCCTAGAACAGCTACAACTTTTAGCACAAAGGATGTCACCTCCTCCCTCCACCCACCACCACAAACTCACACACAAGAGACCTGAACACACTATCCTAGCAGCCTCAGGTCATGTCCCTGGAATGATCCAATCTCCCTTAAGTTCCAGTCTGAAAAAACTCAAGGCTGCCAACAGAATTTACCATTTGTTCTAGCCAGCAACCCAATAGGCACCTGACCTCCCTTTTCACAGAGCATTTTTTGAAACAAAGCTAATTATAAATCCTTTCTCTGTCCCTTATGAGATGTGTATGTACCTTTTGCAATTCAGGAGTGTCTTTTTCAAAGACCTAAAAACTGTTCCTTTGAAATTAATCATCAGAAAGGACAAGGGCTCTGTCTCTGAGTCTCCACAGAAAGGTGGGAGCCTAACTTCCAAAGGGTCAGTTAGCAGGCCCAGATGGCCTAAGCACACTGACCAACCCCCCTGGCCACTTTGTGTAACTTTGTCAATTTCCACTTCCTAACTAACTCAGGCCCCTGCAGGTTTCCCCTCTTCCTCCTTTTAAGACACCCAGTCACCTCTAAAGGGTTCGGGGCCGAGCTTAGCTCTATACCGAAGCCTCTCTCCTGCACTGCAGTAATACTGAACGAAATCTATCTTTACCAACCGTAACTCGTGTCTGATTTTGTTTTTCTGTCACAGAAACATAAAAGTCTGCTAAAGGTTGCTAGAATTTTTTCTGATTTAAAACAAAATGAAACAAAGAAAGCCGACGACATAGTTTGGATCTGTGTTCCTGCCGCAGTCTCACGTGGAACTGCAGTCCCCAGTTTTGGAGGTGAGAGCGGATGGGAGGTGAATGGATCAGGGGAGTGGATTTTTCACAAATGGCTTCGCACCATTCCCTTGGTGCCGTCCTCACGATAGTGAGAGTTCTCTCGAGATCTGATTGTTTCTAAGCGTGCGGCACCTCCCTCCTACCTCCCTCGTTGTTCTGGCCATACGATGAGCCTGCTGCCCTTTACTTTCTGCCATGATTGCAGGCTTCCTGAGACTGCCCCAGAAGCCAAGCAGGTGCCAGCACCATACTTCCTCAATAGTTTGTTGAACCGTGAGCCAGTTAAACCTCTTTTCTTGTCTTTTTTGTTAATTTTTTTGTGAGAAGGAGCCTCGCTCTGTTGCCCAGGCTGGAGTGCAGTGGCGTGATCTTGGCCTCCTGGGTTCAAGTGATTTTCCTGCCTCAGCCTCCCAAATAGGTGGAACTACAGGCTCACACCACGTCTGGCTAATTTTTGTATTTGTAGTAGAGACGGGGTTTCACCATGTTGGCCAGGCTCGGTTCCAACTCCTGACCTCAGGTGATCCACCTGCCTCAGCCTCCCAAAGTGCTGGGATTACAGGCTTGAGCCCCTATTCCTGGCCTAAACCTCTTTTATTTATAAATTACCCAGTCTCAGATATTTCTTTATAGCAACACAAGAACAACCTAATACAAAAGTAAACAAACAAACAAACAAAAAAAACCCAACAACCCAAGACCATGAAGAAGTTTAGGGAGAAACTTCCACTTGGGATAAAGCAGTTGTGTGAGGTGGCAATTTCTAGAACTGCAACCTGACACCATGAGGCGACAGACCTAAGAGCCAAGCCAGCAGCTGCAGGTGCCAAAAACCAGACGACCTGAGCCACAAATGACCAATCCCAGACCCATGCCACCTGGGCTTCCTGTTACAGGAGATGATAGACCCCCTCCTGCTTAAGCTGCTTTGGGTACCATTTCAAAGCCAAACGCATCCTCCCTGATTCACCCCATAGGGTCAAGAGCAGCCCAGACGATGTGGCAAACGGCAGTAGTGCCTGAAGAGCAGGCCTGGTCTTGACTCAATTGTAGGGGCAGAAACTCAGCTCAAAACTTCCATAGAGAAAAAGAGATCTATTGTTCTACATAGCTGACAGGACCAGGCCCAATTCCAGATTCTGCCAGAGCTGGGGGGCAGGGGAGACCATGAGGCCACTGAAGCTCCTCTCCTCTCTGCTGCCCCAAGCTGACATCAGCCTCATCCTCATCCTCGGCAGGTTCATCCTGTACCCCTCCAGCCTGCCAACCCCCCTGGGAACAGCACGCTTCTTTCCCTATGGTTCCAGCAAAGGTCTCACTGCCTGGCTTAGGTCCCCACCTGTTCCTTGACCACTCACCATGGCCAGGGGAGAGACGCAGTTCTAATTGGCCAGTCCTAGATCCTGGGGATGTGATCAACCTAGTGGGAATGGGTAACCAAAGAAAAGTAAGGTCCACCATTGCCAAAAGCCAGAGGCTGACAAAAATAGCAGGTGTCGCCACATAGGGGGAATGAAGGATTAAATACTGGACCCACATCAGCAGATTCCTACCACTGCCCCAGTCCACTGCAGACCAGCAATGGCCCCCACTCCCAACTCACCCATCTTCATCATTTCACAAGCTACAATCTTTTTTTTTTTGAGATGGCACCTCGCTCTGTCCCCCAGGCTGGAGTGTAGTGATGCAATCTCAGCTCACTGCAACCTCTGCCTCCTGGGTTCAAGTGATTCTCCTGCCTCAGCCTCCCGACTAGCTGGGATTATAGGTGCCCGCCAGCATGCCCAGCTAATTTTTGTGTTTTTAGTAGAGATGGGATTTCAACATGTTGACCAGGCTGGTCTCGAACTCCTGGCCTCAGGGGATCCACCTGCCTCGGCCTCCCAAAGTGCTGGGATTACAGTCATGAGGCACCGTGCCCAACCTACAAGCTAAAAAGTTTAGAAATATACTTCATGATTCCTCAGCACAGTGCCTGGCTAACAGATACCCAACAATTACTAATTACCCAAATACTCCTCTATTTGTGTAGTCAGGGGTCAGGGTGAGCTAAGGAGCAGGGTGGGAAACCATAGTTACAGCATCTCCTCTGCCAGGACTGTCAGAGCTGGAAGGGGCCTTACAAACCATTCCCTCCAAACTCCTTGGTTTATAGCCAAATAATCAGAGGCCCAGAGAGGGTAAGCAGTGTGGCCTGGATCTCATGGCTGGTCAAAGCCAGAGCCTCTTCCAAGCTCAGCCCTTACCATTGCGTCCCATGGCACCCAAAACACTCACAAGTGAGGCCCAAGGAAAATAACAATTTTCTCTCCTTTTTAAGGGGTTTCCTGGCCAGACACAGTGGCTCACACCTGTAATCCCAGCACCTTGGGAGGCTGAAGCAAGCGGATAATTTGAGGTCAAGAATTCAAGACCAGCCTGGCCAACATGGCGAAACCCCGTCTCTACTAAAAATACAAAAATTAGCCAGGCGTGGTCGCACATGCCTGGAATCCCAGCTACTTGGGAGGCTGAGGCAGAAGAATCACTTGAACCTGGGAGGCAGAGGTTGCAGTGAGCCGAGATCGTGCCACTGCATTCCAGCCTGGGCCACAGACCAAGACTCCATTTCACACACACACACACAACACACACACACACACACACACAAAGGTTTTCTCAGCATAACTGTACTGTCCTTGAAAGCAAAAGCAACAAAAAGCATAGACAGACTTTTGAGTATCTTTTGTGTTTTTATCCTGCAGCTTTACAGAACTCTGGAGTCATTATTTCATTATCTTTGAGTGTGTCGTCTGTGTGTGTTTGGGAGAGATGGGGAGAAAAGCCAGGACAGAGAAAGACGGAGGCGGGAGAGAGACAGTCTGAGTCCTGGTGCCCCTGAGGATGGGAACTCCCCCACCCTGGGTTCAAGGCTTATCTGCCTGTTGGCCACAGAAAGCAGCTGCCAGGCAGGGAGATTTATAAGGTGACATTCCAGCCCTGAGCAGTGTTGGGTAAACAGACCGAAGCCCAAGATGCTGGACGTGCCTCCAGTACTTTCGTAGTAGGCTCTAGAAGCTTTCCCACCACAGTGACAAATTACGCAGAAACAAAACACGAGGTGGGGCAGGGTGCAGTCGGGAGAGGCGAGAAATGTGGAAGATGGCCAGAGAGCTCAAGGCTGCGGGACCCTCCCTTAGAGCCAAAGGTTGGGACAAGTCAACACAGATAAAGAATCGCTTGGCTGCCTGAGCTCCGCCTGCCAGGTCACGTGCTGGGACTTCTGCCCTGACACCCAGAATGGGCATTATCCCGACCCAAACAAGCAGGGTAACATGTGGGGAAGTGTCCCGTAGAATAGAAAGCATTCTGCACAAACGTAGGGATGTTGTGGTGACCCTCAGGCTTTCTTCCTCTCTGCAGTCTGGGTTGGTATTCCTAGAATAGGGTCTCTCAGTGGGAGATAAAGTGGGCAAGAGGTAGAAGAGTAGTGCCAACAACAGGGAAGAGGCCAAGACATGCGCCTTTCCCTTCGCAACCTGGATGGCCTCCGAGGTGTCGTCAGGGAGCACCACCTTCCAGAAACATCTCTGTGCAGTGCTGCGTGAGCACCGGCTGGGAATTCCACAGACCTAAGTTCCGGCCCACATTCTGCCAAGTCAGTGGCTTGAGCAAATGGCTTCAGCCCACCAAGTCTGTCTCCTCATCTGTGAGATGAGGATCAGAACAGTATGCACATCACAGGGTTATTGTGAAAATCTAGCATCCCAAGAGCCTGCCAAGTGGCCGCTACCTACTAAATCCACTCTTGCCAAAAATATGTCAGGAAGGAAAAAGGCAGGTGGGTCAACTCATTGCTGAAGACCAACATCTCCTTTAAAGCCAAATAATAATGGGATCCAAATAACATTCGGGGTGGAGGGAAAAAAATCTTCCATCGGTCTAAAGTTGTCCTAGCCACAGTCTATGTCACAAATCTATTTACAGACATGGTCATTGTGAGCCTTTGCAAAGGATTTTGGCATAAACAATTTTCCCCGGAGGCTCTGGGACCACGGCATGAAGCAACCTAGCTCTCTGTGGAAGTGTTTTCTCTTGAGCTTGAAGCAACTCAGGACAGCTGGTGCAGTCTGTTAAATTGACTTTCAAAGGAAGGCTTTGCATGAGGAAGTTAATGGAGCTTAAGTGCATTTCATGGTGGAAACAGAGGGTCTCCCACCCCTAAGTAATTAGATGAAATCAGCACAATTTCCATTTCAGCCCTTTCCTTGGTTCATGCTGCTCAACCCCTCATGAAGCTTCCAAGTAGCTAGCTGCAGGCTGAACTTAAAATATTCCATAAATATGGAGAAATACCCCCACTGACCCATTTTTGAAGGGTATGCATAGGAGGAAATGTAAACCTCTGATAAGGAATAAAGGATTACTTGGACCCGTATATGCTAAGTGCCAAGCCAGACAGATGGGCAAACATCACATTTTATGAGATTGATTGTAAATAATGGAACGTTGCTCTCTGAAAAGATTGAAAGTAAGTTTGATAAAAGGCCAAGAAGAATGAAAACAGAAACTGCTATCTTCATGCTGTGTAAGAGCTCCCAAATTTCTCCAGGCCTTCTTCGGCTTCTCTGAAGTGGAAGGATTTGATATGACAAATTCTCCTGTCACATAGACACCCTCCCTGAAAGTAATTGGCTTTGCATTCAAGAAAAACACGTAACGATCAGTAAGCCCCCAAATCTCAAGGTTGCAAGAATAAAACTTGATGCATTAATGAAGTGCCATAATAAAATGGGCTTTTGGCCGGGCACAGTGGCTCACGCCTGTAATCCTAGCACTTTGGGAGGCCGAGGCAGGCGGATCACGAGGTCAAGAGATCAAGACCATCCTGGCCACCATGGTGAAACCCTGTCTCTACTAAATATACAAAAATTAGCCAGGTGTGGTGGTAGGTGCCTGTAGTCCCAGCTACTCAGGAGGCTGAGGCAGGAGAATTGCTTGAACCTGGGAGCTGGAGGCTGCAGTAAGCCAAGATCGCACCACTGCACTCCAGCCTGGTGACAGAGCAAGACTCTGTCTCAAAAAACAAAAATTTAAACAAATAAAATGGGCTGTTACATTTCGAACGGCTTACAACTGTCACTGTTACATTTAAAATGACACATCAAGGGGTCAGAAGGAAAAGCTAAGTCCTAAGTGGTATAAAATGACATCAAACATTACAGGGATTTTTAAGTGTGAAAAACACTCAAAAATCATTCAGAATACACAAGAGTAAAGTTTTTCCCAAGTAATGCATCAAACATAGATCAGGAAGGTTATTTTTATTTATAGCTAAAAGCTTAGGAAGCCAATTTTCTTCTTTTCCTTCTTTTTGGCTAGGGTTGACAGCTTTTATATGGTTTCTTCCAAGCTTTATGTGTGTGTTTTCATAAAAAGATTTAAACTTACATACTTATATACACTATTTTCCACCTCCATTCTTCCCTCATCAAAAGTAATGGGATCTATGCTTTTTATTTGGTTAAGAGACCTTGGCTGTTTTAAAAATACGTCTGCAGTTAAACACCACTTTCAACTAGTGAAAGAAAATAGCTGTGGGAAAGAAGAGGCAATTGAGACTGGGTTTCATTAACACATTAAGCGATCATATTTTTTCTTTATTTAGAAGGCTGCTTTACCTCCTCTCAAGATACAGACTATGACCAAACATAGGCCAACTGCTCACTCCATCTCCTCTTTGCTTCTGAGATCTCTTAACCTTGTTGACCTTTACAATCCATCTCTCTTCCTCTATCTCTAAACAGCACCATTCACAATGATCCTTTTCACTGGTATGGCATTGAGACTTACCAAATCCACATGCTAATCCCAATAACAGCAGCAAATACACACATAGCACTTCCCACGTCTTCAACACTTTCTAAAGAGTTTCATATATACTAACACATTAAATCATATGTTCTATCTGTTCCTCATAATGATCCTATAGGGGTTATTATGTATGTTGCCTAATTCCTGCCTTCCTTCCTATTGAACTCCAGTTTTGTTTTCCGGGTTTTTTTTTTTTTTTTTTTTTCAGACAGGATCTCACTCTAACCCAGGCTGGAGTGCAGTGGCATGATCTTGGCTCACTGCAACCTCCTTCTCCCGGATTCAAGTGATCCTCCGCCTCAGCCTCCCATGTAACTGGGAATACAGGCGTGCACCACCCATGCCCAGCGAATTTTTTGTATTTTTAGTAGAGATGGGGTTTCACCATGTTGTTCTGGCTGGTCTCAAACTCCTGACCTGAAAGTGATCCACCCAGCTCAGCCTCCCAAAGTGCTGGGATTACTGGCGTGAGCCACCAAGCCTGGCCTGAACTCCAGTTTTCTTAAAGTTGCACTGTCTTTCACATGGCCATTACTTCAGGGCGGGATGTCCCAGGAGGCGAGTCGTTATTGGTCTAAGCTAATTAAGCAGGCCTACAAGGTACAAGTCAGTGATACAACTCTGGCCAATGACATGTGAGAAAAAGCTTGCTGGTTGTGGAGAGGGAGAAGTTGCTCATGAGAATCACATTTTCCAGCCGGGAGCGGTGGCTCATGCCTGTGATTCCAACACTTTGGGAGGGTGAAGCAAGCGGATCACTTGAGGTCGGGAGTTCGAGACCAGCCTAACCAACATGGAGAAACCCCGGTTCTACTAAAAATGCAAAATTAGCTGGGCATGGTGGTGCATGCCTGTAATCCCAGCTACTCAGGAGGCTGAGGCAGGAGAATCGCTTGAACCCGGGAGGCAGAGGTTGCAGTGAGCTGAGATTACACCATTGCACTCCAGCCTGGGCAACAAGAGCAAAACTCCATCTTAAAGAAAAAAAAAAAGAGAGAGAATGACATTTTCTGTTCTTTATAAAAGCCACACCAAAATAATCTCTCCCGCTTTCAGATCTTGTTGGGTCTGTAGTTTATGCCTGGAAGTGCTGCAGCCTTTTTGCATCCATGAAGGAATCTAGCCTGAGAACAACAGTACCACGAAGAGAGAATGCCGAGCCAAAAGAATCACCAAGAGGGGACCCAGATCCCTGATTAACCCGTGCCTGGAGCTACCACTACCTTTGCTTTCTTGCCTCATGTGATAATACATTTCCTCACTGTTTGAAATTCATTGAGTCCAGTTTTCTCTTACTTGTAGCCAAAGGCATCCTTAACAATGTAATTGACTCCACTTTGCAGATGAACAAAGAGACAAAGAGGGCAAGTGACACCTACAGTCACACCACTGGTAAATGTATTAAGAACATGCAGGCATTAGGGAGTAAAGTTTATACATAATTTAAAGTAGTATGTAGGAGTTTAGGACAGGCCACCCCAAAATATGCTGCTTTGGCATAAAGACTACTTTGAGCTGGAGGAACTTGAAAAACAGTACATGCAGACAGTGGCTTTCTCTGAATTCCCTTTATCTGCCTAAAGACAAAACCTCCAAAAGGAGCTCAGTTGTCGTCAGTACCCCCACCCCTGGGAGTTTCATCAACCAGGGAAAATTAACTCTTATCACAGGAGAGGAGAATGGAGGTGACATCACACCCAAGGTTTGTCACAAGCTATCACTTATTCTGAGGGTCTATTCATCTTTCCCCAAAATCATTTTCTCTCTCCTAAATTGCCTACATCCCCCCTCCCTGCTTTCCCCAAAAAGAGGGTATATAACCTTCTAAATCTCACTGTTTTAAGGGGTATGACTTTTTTTCCTATGATGTCCCTGTGCACTTAATAAACTTGTGTATCTTTTATCCTGTTAATCTGCCTGTTGTCAGTTTATTTCATAGACCCAGTTACTAAACCTTGGAAATTAGAGGGAAAATCTTCTCCCTCCTCCCTCCCAAAGGACTTCCAAACATATTTTATAAATTATATGTACTTATACTGTCATAGTCACATATACACACCACAACTAAAATTATGGTTCAGTTCACCAACTAGAGTTCAATATAAATTTACGATTCCTACTCCCGATGATTGTTAGATTTTTGAGTGTACGTAAGAGAGATGTCACTCACAGTGTCACAAGACACATAGAAAGGCAAATATATCTTTTCTTAAACACTAATTTTTTGCTGTAACAGTACATCTTTAAAAACCAAGTGATTAGCCATGACATTCAAAGTATAAACAATTTGTCATTCGTTGTTAATGCTTCTTTTCTCATGTAATCATGAGTCATTAACTTTTGGATGCCGGCAGTTTGGAATTTTCTGTCTATAAGGAGACATCATGCAAGACAGAATGCCAAGTTGGCTCAGCCCTAAAGAGAAGGCTTCGTGACATACACACGTTGTAAATGGCACATGGAGAAGGTGTCTGCACCAAAGTATGTAGAGAATAGGATTCAGAACACAGTTCACATTGGATGATAAATCATTGAGTCTTGTGAAAGTGAATAAGGAGTTCATTTTTGATGACCACAAATCATTAAGTTTCTCCAGCACAGAGTGAATCCACCATCCCAGGCATTTTCTTAGGTCCCCTTTGCAAGCCTTTCACGAGATGTTCCCAAGGCTGGGCCTCACTCTATCACCGTCTGTGGGCAATAAGCCCCTGGCAGTAGCGTAAATAGGCTGTGCTGAAGTCAAAGCCCACAAACTCAGTTTCTCGTTTCTCAACCTTACTCAGTTACCAGCCTTACTCATATTACTATATGGTACTCAGTTACCAGCCTTACTCATATTACTATATGGTACTCAGTTACCAGCCTTACTCATATTACTATATGAGCAAGGTTGAGAAACTAGAAACTGAGGGGCTGTGGGCTTTAAATTCAGCACAGCCTATTTACGCTACTATCTATAGGAGGAATCTCCCTTCCCCAGCCTGCTAGTTTTTGTGTAATGAGTCTTGCATTACAAGCATGCTCCTGGCTTCTCCCCAGACCCTCACACCCCTCCGGGAACAGGCAGGGACTCTGATTCCTGTACTTGCAAACAGGAACAAAGCATGCCTAGCTCTCCCCTTTTCCTCTTGGGAGCCAGCTGGCCACAGGGAGTTCCCAGTCCAGTCTGCTTCTTATCGAAGCAGAAAATTTTAGAGCATCAGACACGCCCCAGACATGGGCTACGGTTTTCCAAAGCGACCTGTGCCTCCTAAGTCCATCTAACCCTGAGGTTGGGAATCATCCCTCTTGCCTACAGATACAAGCCACACTGTATCATCTTCATCAGTTAAGAAAGGAAATCTTTGACTCAGTTAAGTCAGAAAGTGGGTGAGGAAACCAGTATTTATTGGGCGCCTTCAAATTCCAACGTGTTCTAAAATGAAGAGGTTTAACCATACCTTACTTTGTATAGCACTTGACAATGTTCAAAACAGTTTCCCGTATCTTATCTCTTTGGGTCTCCTCAACAAACCTGGGAGGAAGGCAGGGTGTGGAAATGGAAACCCAGCTATTTTAAACGAACTGTCCAGGGTAACAGCCTGTATCATCTTCCAGATCTCTTTTGCTGGAGTCCCTTCATCTTCTGGGCTTCCTCCAGCTTTCTAAGGAGTTGAACAAGCTGAGCGATTTACCCAGGGTGAGGCAGCTGTGAAACCATGCCCCTCTCCACCTTCTCCCATAAATCAGTTTTGACTTTTTAAAGGCTGGTTCCATATGCAATGTATTGACTTTTGTGCCATTCCATAAACAGCATAGGTCTTCCTATAGTGAAATGAACCCAGAACAGCTCCAAGAGGTGACTTCTCCACCAAATGAACAGACATCAGCATAAGGTAATGAGGAAACAAATAATATATCATATTCTTTTGGTGGTGTTATAATCTCCCAGTAACTAACCACAAAGAAATTAAGATATGTGAACTGCCTAAGAATTCAAAATAATTATTTTATGTTCAATGAACCTCAAAAAATCAGAGAAATATCCCAATGAGTCAGGAAAATAATAAATAATCAACATTAGAAATTTAATAGATATTACAATTATTTTTAAAAAATCAAATTCTGGAGCTGAAAAATACAATTAATAAAAAGTTCAATAGAAAATATCAACAGCAAAATTGATCAAGGAGAAAAAAAGTCTGTGAACTCAAAGACAGGTTATTTGAAAATATGCAGCCAGCAAAGAAAGGAAAAAAGTGAAAAGGGATGAAGAAAGCTTCAGGATTTATGGGACAACATCAAAAGAACAAAAATACTTGAGTTACAGGAATTAAGGGAAAAAAACATAGGGGCAAAGGGGTAGGCAAGCTTAAACAATAGCAGAAAACATGCCAATTCTAGGGAAAGACACAAATATCCAGGTAAAAGAAAGTCAAAGTTCTCTAATCAGATTCAATCCAAACAAGACTATCCCAAGACATATTATCATCACACTGTCAAGTATAAAGACAGGTCGGGCATGGTGGCTCATGCCTATAATCCCAGCGCTTTGGGAGGCCGAGGCGGGCAGATCACAAGGTCAGGAGTTCGAGACCAGCCTGACCAACATGGTGAAACCCAGTCCCTACTAAAAATACAAAAATTAGCCAGGTGTGGTGGCGTGTGCCTGTAATCCCAGCTACTCTGGAGGCTGAGGCAGGAGAATCATTTGAAGCTGGAAGGCAGAGTTTGCAGGCAGCCAAGATCACACCACTGTACTCCAGCCTGGGTGAAAGAGCGAGACTTCACCTCAGAAAAAAAAAAGAAAATACAAACACACACACATACACACACACACACACACACACAGAGTATCCTAAAAGGAACAAGAGAAAACAGGAAAACAATATATAAAGAAGTTCCAATAAGGCTAGTGGCAGATTTCTCAGTAGAAACCTAAGCCGTGAAAAAGTGGGATGATATATTCAAAGTATTGCAGGAAAAAACTTGTCAACCAAGAACACTGTACCTAGCAAGGCTGTACTTCAGAAATGGAGAGAAAGACTTTTCCCAACAAACAAAAGCTTAGTAAGTTCATCACCAACAGACCTGTCTTACAAGAAAGGTTAAAGAGAGTTCTTCAAGCTGAAAGAAGATGCTAATGGGTAACAGGAAAATACATCAAAGTATAAAACTCATTTGTAAAAGTAAGTAGTCAAATTCAGAACAGTCTAATATTATAATGGTGGTATGTAAGTAACATTTATCTTTAGTATGAAGGTTAAAAGATGAAACTATTTAAAATAATAGCTATAATTTTTTAAGGGATATACAAGATGTAAACTGTGACATCAAAAACACAAAATGGGGAGGTGGATTAAAAGTATGGAGTATTATCATGCAATCAAGGTTAAGTTATTTACAGCTTAAAATAAATAGCCCATTACAGTATCTTTTATGTAAGCCTCAAGGTAATCACAAAGCAAAAATCTATAGTAGATACACCAAAGATAGAAAGTAAGGAATCAAAGCAAACTATGAGAGAAAATCATCTAATCATAAAGAAGACAGCAAGAGAGGAAGAAAGGAACAAAGGAACAAGCAAAAAACAATTAACAAAATGGCAATAGTACATCCTTACCTATCAATAATTATCTTGAGTGTAAACAGATTAAAATCTCCTATAAAAGACAAACTACACACCTGATAAGAAGTTAATATTCAAAACATACAGGGAACTGAAACTACTCAATAGCATGTAAACAAGTCAATTAAAAAATGGGCAAAGGACCCAAATAGACATTTCTCTAAAGACGACATACAAATGGCCCAAAGGTAAATAAGAAAATGCTCAACATCACGAATCATCAGGGAAAAGGAGATTAAAACCATAATGAACTGTCATCTCACACCTGTTAGAATGACTATAATAAAAAAGACAAGCAATAAATGATGATGAGGATGTGGAGAAAAGAGAACCTTTGTAACAGTTGGTGGGAATGTAAATTAGTACACCACTATAGAAAACAGTATGGAGTTTCCTCAAAAAATTAAAAATAGATTGGAAATTATGTTCAATTATGGTAAATATATAACAACACACACCCACAAATTAAAAATAGAATTACCCAAGGTAATTTAGTACATAAGATTCAGAAGCTTACGTACCCAGTAGTAAACCGACTACTGGGTACATATCCAAAGGATATGATAACAGTATGAAAAAGAAGCCAACCTAAGTGTTTATTGACAGATGAATGGATAAAAAAAGTTTTTTTATATAATATATATGGTAGGATATTATTCATTCTTAAAAAAATTTTAGAAATTTTTTAATATTTTAAAAAATATTTTAATAATTTTAATATTTAATATTCTAATATTTTTAAAAAATATTTTTAAGATATTCATTCTTAAAAAAAAAAGAGGAAATCCTGTCATTTGTGACAACATGGATGAACCTGGAGGAAATTATGTTAAGTGAACTAAACCAGTCACAGAAAAGCAAAATACCATGTGACCTCAGTTATATGTGGAGTATAAAAAAGTCAAACTCATAGAAACAGAGGATAAGACAGAAAAATAAAATACTTCAAAGGGACTCAGTGTATGCCTATTTAATGAAGCCATTTTAATTTAAAACAGGATAGCCTGCAATGCCTTATCTCAAGTTAAATTAGCTTCTTGATGTATTTTGGTAGTGTTTTTTCTAATGTATGGGTTTTTAGGGTTTTTTCATCAATGGTGGTCTCCAAGATGGTAATTTAAAAGTTACAGGAAGGGGTGAGTCACAGCTTTTCCTGGCAAAGGCTGAAGGATGAGGGGTGAGGGGAGATGTTGGTCACAGACGCAAAATTTCAGTTACACCGGAGGAATGAGTTTACAAAATCTACTGCATATCGCGGCAACTACAGTCAATAACACTATTATGGTGGTTCAATATACAATAGTTCAACTTTACCGTGGGTTCACTGGGGTATTAAATGCATTTTCAACTTACGGTGGGTTTATTGCTGTACAACCCCATCGTAAGTTGAGGTACATCTGTAGTATGTATTGGAAAATTGCTAAAAGAGTAGATCTTAAGGTTCTCACCCCAAAAAAATAAGTTTGTGAGGTAGTATACATGTTAATTAGCTTGATGTAGCCATTCTACAACGTATACATATATTTAAAATCATACTGTACACAATAAACATATACAACTTTTACTTAATTAAATAAATTAAAAGTCAGTCTGGGCCGGGTACGGTGGCTCACGCCTGTAATCCCAGCACTTTGGGAGGCCGAGGCAGGGCAACTGGGGATCACCTGAGGCCAAGAGTTCGAGACTAACCTGGCCAGCATGGTGAAACCCTGTCTTTACCAAAAATACAAAACGTAGCTGGGCATGGTGGCAGACACCTGAAATCCCAGCTACTCAGGAGGTTGAGTGAGGCAGGAGAATCACTTGAACCTGGGAGGTGGAGGTTGCAGTGAGCTGAGATCGCATCACTGCATTCTAGCCTGGGCGACAGAGCAAGACTGTCTCAAAAAAAAAAAAAAAATTGTCAGTCTGCAAACCAATAACTAAGCAACTATAAAGCACTTCGCAAAGTTTGGCCTATCATTAAACCCTTCTACTTCTCAACGTTCATTTTTTAAATCTGGAATCTATCTACTTACTGATGTAATGTCAAGGCTTAAATATAAAGGTCTACAGAGTTACAGAATTTTGAAGGGAAGAAAAGCCTTATACCGTTAATGTGAATCAGATCCCAAGCTGTCCACTGTCCACAGAGTGCTGCCTCCCTCCCTGTCCCCAGGGACTCATGAGCTATATTTACACCATGGAGTGTAACCCTAAGTAGCTGGCGTGAGCAGGAAAGGGGCCATCGTGGGCAGCTGAACCAATGCCTGGGGCATCGTGCGCAGCTGAAACAATGCCTGGGCAGAACATGCATGTGGCTTCTATCCTTTCGGAAAGGAATGAGGACATTTGCTTGCCTTAACAGGTCCTGCAGATTGGCCACAAATTGGTCTTTGAGAACCTTAGATCTCTCACTCAGAGCACAGCTTCTCACTGTAGCCCACCGCAGATGGAGATGCAGAAAAGAAGGAACCCACACTCTAGGTCCTAAATGGCCTCCTTGCCAGATCCAGTGTCCTCCTGGCATCCTGAATGTCAGCTCCTGGCACTGCTACCCTATTGTCCCCAGCAGCCTCTGTGCCTGGGTCCCGCCATGCCACAACCCCTGCTCTCCCGCCCGTGTTGTAACAGCTCCTTTGCTGTCTGCTGGACTGAGGTGTGTTCCCTCTTCTGGTCCCACCAGTGCCCAAGCCCCGAAGTTTTTATTTGTTTGTTTTCGAGACAGAGTCTTGTACTGTTGCCCAGGCTGGAGTGCAGTGGCGCAATCTCAGCTCACTGCAACCTCCGCCTCCCAGGTTCAAGCGATTCTCCTTGCCTCAGCCTCCCAAGTCGCTGGAATTACAGGTGCCTGCCACCATGCCCGGCTAATTTTTTTGTATTTTTAGTAGAGACAGGGTTTCACTACGTTGGCCAGGCTGGTCTCAAACTCCTGACCTCGTGATCTGACCACCTCAGCCTCCCAAAGTGCTGCGATTACAGGTGTGAGCCACCATGCCCAGCCCGAAGTTTTTGTCTTTACCCTCTGCTCTCTCCTGCCTCTCCTAATGCTGCCTTATGGCTTCAACTATCACCTCCTGTGCTGGGAGCCTGGACTTCTCTCCACCTAGCACACTGCTGCGTGCAGGACAGTAACTCACTATCAAACCACCACCTCATGCCATACACAATCCAACCAAGCTCACGCACCCACACATGCCCTTAAACTCAACCCCACTCTCCACCCTCACTGGTTCCTGTGAGTTTCTTCATGTTTTCACCACATTTACAACCAAGCAGCCTCCAGCTTCCTCTTCCCCTCACCCCCAACTTCCAAAGCCACCTGGAGACTCATCCCTGCCATAGCCCCAGGCACACCCTTGGGCTTCTGCCTCAGTTTCCAGCCTGGCACTCTGGGTTTCCTGCTGGATCTGAATCCTGCCCTCAACCACATCCCATTCTGTGCTGGAGCTCTGACACCCTCCTACTACCTACCAAGTCCCCTTCACCCTGTCCCAAAGTCACCTAGAAACTCCAAGTCATATTCCAGAAGCTTTTAAAATGAGAAATTGGGCCAGGCACGATGGCATATGCCTGTAATACCAGCACTTTGGGAGGCCAAAGGCAGGCAAATCACCTGAGGTTAGGAGTTCAAGACCAGCCTGACCAACATGGTGAAACCCCGTCTCTACTAAAAATTCAAAACTTAGCTCAGCGTGGTGGTGGGTACCTGTAACCCCAGCTACTCAGGAGGCTGAGACATGAGAATCTCTTGAACCCGGGAGGCAGAGGTTGCAGTGAGCCGAGATCACACCACCGCACTCCAGCCTGGGTAAAAGAATGAGACTCTGTCTCAAAAATAAATAAAATAAAATAAAATAAGGAATGGCATAAACCAGTTTGGTGTGGTTTCTCATTCAGGAGAACTGCAGTGATGTAGTAGAAAGAACTCCAACTTTGAATCCAGACAGGCACGGTTTGAATCCCATGGCTGCAGCTCGTGACCAGGCAGCCTTCTCCTTTAAGCCTGTTTCCTCATCTGCAAAATGAGGGAGATGTCCCCTTGCTTTTGAAACTGTTGTAAGGAATAGAAAATAAGGACAATGTGGCAGCTACCATTGACTGTGCCCTTACTACGTGCCAGGTGCTCTGCTGGGGACCAGGAAAAGACAGATAAATAAGCCCAAGGCTTATTTCATTTAAGACCTGAGGGCTCTACTGTCAAAAAGTAGTCTGATGGATTACAGGGGAAGGGAGTCACAATGAGACCTTCTCTAAAGGATGCAAGAACACAATATCACAGCATGGTGCAGGGCCCTGCACCCAGCCACGTGTCCCAGGTCCTGGGCCCGAGGACAGCGGCCCAGCCCACCAGTTAAGTCACAGCTGAATGGAGGGGGAGGAGGCTCTCCAGAGAGACTAACCAATGGGGGAAGGCCTGAGCAATGGAAATGGGTCAAAAGTCAGGCAACAGACTGGCCTCATCCCTGAATTCCTCAAGGAGCTCCCTTGGGGAATGCCACTGGTCCTTGCCGGTCTGTTCAGGAAAATGTAGGAGGAGCCAACCATGTTCTTCCTACGTGGAAGTCTCCCCTAAAAGGTCATACGCAGTGATTACTGGGTGGGTTCCCAGCACAACCCTGTCCATGATAAGGTGTCAGTTTCCTTTTACTCACTGTACTCGTTACCCAACTTCTACTGGACTTGGGCTTCCAGGTAAACCTGACCCAGGTTTTATATCCCCACGGCCTTACTTGGGCTTCCAGGTAAACCTGACCCAGGTTTTATAACTCCACGGCCTTACTTGGTCTTCCAGGTAAACCTGACCCAGGTTTTATATCCCCACAGCCTCTTGCATGACCCTGGCTTTTCTTGCCACACAAGTAGTGTGATGTGGTTTTTTAAAATAAAGCATTTGAGAAGGCATTAGGAGACCTGGAATTTTTTTTCTAATCACAAACAATCTCCGACTTTGACTGGGTCACTGACTTCCCTATCCTCACCAATCAAATGGGGAAAATGGCACCTATGGTTGTGAAGATCCAACAGCAAGAGAAGTACAAGCACTCCAAGAACCAGGCAGCATTCCAGAAAGGCCTAGAGGTTCCAGAAAGGTCAAAGGTCACAGTCTATAGCCCCTTTCATGGTGGGAAATATGGGGTGATGGACCCAGCATTCTGAAATCTGCAATAACCTAGGCAACATAATGAAATTTGCTGGATAGGAAAAGCCTGCCGGGTACGGCGAGAAAAACTCATCACATGCAGAAGACAGAGCCAGATGTGCGAACTTCCTGCCTGGAGTTTCCATCTAGGAGGGGGCCGCTTTCTGAACCTGGCCAAGTCGTCATCAACAGAGCATAGGCACGGGGCAGCCTGGTGCAGGCCAGAGGTTTCCGCTGTCCTGCTGGCAGGGACTGACCTTATCCCTGTCCTGTTTTGCTCCCACCCTGTTTTCACAGTTGTTATCTCCAGGAGCAGAGGATGGGGCTGACTGCGGGTTGACTGTGATATTTAAGTGATATCAATTATATGGAGTTTAGAAATTGTACGTGTGTCTGTTCTATCCACCTAAACTCAGCCTCCTTTCAGCCTTCTGAAGGCAGGGGATGTGTGGGGTAGGTGCTGGGAAGCAGAGGTGTGGAGCACAGGACTGACTGAATTCAAGTTCTGAGTCACCATGGGGCCGAGGGCTGAGCCCACAGCCAGGAAGACCCAGGCTGGGCTGTATCCTCCCCGGCCAACATGACACCCCCGGATCATTCATTCTTCCTTGGGTCTTCTTAGAGCACATCCACTGCCAAATTCTTGAATCCCAGCCACAGACAAAGGTTTCATCACCAGATTTGGATCGCCTTTGGATTTCATGGCAGCACAGTCTCCCCAGTGATATATTCCTCTGGTTTCATCGTTGAACGTTACTAATATTTTTTGAGAACCCACTATGCATTAGAGACTCACAGTACCTGGTGTTTTCTACACATACACATTCCTAACCCCTGCGAGGTAGGAATTATGCCCACCTCACATGTCACGTGACAAATAAAGACTCAGAAACACTGAGGTTAGGAGATTTCGAGATGCTGAAACAGCTGGCAAAGCCAGGAGTCTCGTCCATGCCAAACTCACGCCGCTCTAGTCACTAGGTAGGGTTTTCTGGCTGGTTCCATTCTAGGTTTAAATTAGTGTTGTGGGCTCAGATCCTCCTTCACAAGCTCTTCCCAAGACCCTGACCCGGCTCCTTGCTCTAACAAATGTCTTCTGTGTAGGGTCTTTGACGCCTCTGCCCATTTCACAACACTGAGCGAGGAGGTGCTCAGTCCTCCCTCCACCCAGACACCCCCACTGCCCTCCCATGGAAACAAACCAAGATTCATTTGGAGTTTTGAAGAGGCAGGAACCTTCCAGAGTTCTGCTCAGCCCTAACTCCACCTGCTGGCCATTCATTCCACCTTAGAAAGGAGTAAGAACAAGATCAGTTTCGGCAGCCTCTTAAGAGGAAACAAATCCACTAACTCAACTCACCCCTGGCTGTTTGTCAATGAGAGGAAGGATGGGCAAATCAATGCTGAACCACCCCTGCTCCGGTTCCAGGACTTGCAAGCCTCCCTTTGTGCAGGTGGCCAAGGCTGCAGCAGGGACTCTGGACAGAAAGTGGCCCACCTGCTGAGAATTAGGTGGGCTGGTCCTGCTAACAGTCATTTTTCTGTTGCCAGCACCCTGTGTCACATGAAGAGGTAGCCCTGGCACTTGAAAGAGTCAGGCACAGAGTGTTCATATAACCAGCAACTTTCACAGAAAGGTCTCAAAGCATCTCACTCCTACTGTCCTTGAACCATGTCAGCAAGGGTGACAGAATGAGCCCAATCCCAAATTGCAGGTGTAAAATTTCATCTCCCCTGGTTTCAGTGAGTTGAAATGAGCCAGGCTGCAAATTCAGGACACAGCCCAGCCAAGACCCTGGCTCCAAGACACACTCTTCTACACTGCATTGTACTCTCTTGAAGGCAGGAGATGCAAATCCCTGCAGAGGTGGGGTTTCTGCTATTTGCCTGTAAGCCCTATGTCTCTCCTGATCGGACCCACACATTGGAGCGATGCCATCTCTACCAGCTCACACCCTTGCTCACTCATCCCAGAGTGACAATCCCAGGCTGGGCTGAGACACAACCTCTGTGTGTCTCTAGAGACCCGGCCTTGGCCCTATTTCCCCTAAGATGGGTGGGCAGAGAGCTAGGCATGGGCAGCAGGGAAGGGCAACCTGCAGTCAGGAAATGAGCATGTAGCTGAGTAAACAAAGGCGTTTTAGGACCTGGTGGTTGAGCATTCATTCGTTCATTCATTCATTCACTCACACACAGAGCATCTACTGAGCAATTACTACTGTGCTTTAGGCCCCAGGCTACAAAGATGAAGATGAAATGGTCCCTAATTTCCAACAGCATCTGGTACAATGGAGAAAGGTGTGTGTATTGGGGGTGGGGGCAGAGGGCTGAGGAGCTGGGTGGCCAGGAATTCTCTGGCAGACACCTCCATCACACAAAGCTGAATCATCAAGGTGAGAATCCACAGCCACAAGGGAAGGTATCTTAGAGAATTGACTTTTCTCATCTGATCCATGAACCTACTTTCACACACGGTATCGTTACACAAATGGATAAAAACAGATGTGCAGGCCTCTAAATAGGCCCTGTCCAATATGCAGAATAATTTAATTCTTGCTGAAAATCCAGTAAGACTTGGGGAGAGGAATAAATCAGTGAAGCACAGGGGATTCTTGGGGCAGTGAAGTGGCTCTGTCCGATACTACAGTGGTGGGTACCTGTCATTACACATTTGTCTACACCCATAGAATGTACAATACCAAGAGTGAACCCTAAACTATGAAGTCTGGGTGTTTAATGTGTCAGTGTAAATTTAAATCTATTTTTTATAAACCAAACAATAGCACTAGATTATGGTATTGACAGAAGGAGTGGGCTCCCCAGTCCAAAGCTCAGAATGGTGTCCCCCACTCGAAAGTGTCTGTCAGGCCGAGTGCAGTGGCTCACGCCTGTAATCCCAGCACTTTGGGAGGCCAAGGTGGGCAGATCACTTGAGGTCAGGAGTTTGAGACCAACCTCACCAACATGGTGAAACCCCATCTCTACCAAAAAACAGAAAAATTAGCTGGGCATGGTGGCGAGTGCCTGTAACCCCAGCTACTCGAGAGGCTGAGGCAGGAGAATCGCTTGAACCTGGGAGGCAGAGGTTGCTGTGAGCTGAAGTTGCGCCACTGCATTCCATCCTGGGCAACAGAGCGAGACCTTGTCTCAAAAAAAAGGAAAAGAAAGGAAAGGAAAGGGGAAAGGAAAGGAAAGGAAGAAAAAGAAAAGAAAGAAAAGAAAGTGTCGTGTCTTTAAGAGAGTAAGCAGTGCCCTCTAAATTTTCTCTTGGTGTCCTTAAGTGCCTGTGGACACCACTGTCCATAAACTTCTCAAAGGAAGAGAACAAACCCCCGACCCCATAAAAGCTATTAATAGTAGCTGATTGCAAAGTTAACAACTGTAGCATCTAAAGTCAATTTCCTTGGACAGATCTCTCCAGAAGCATAAACCCCAGGCATGAGAGAAACATATTTGCAACATGGAGTGGGGAGGGGCTGAAGAAATAACCCTCACAGAGCCTTTCAATTAATTACTGCTTCTTACAACATAAAATCCAGGCTCACAGGACCTTTCCAACAGACTTTAGAAGCAGTTTTCAAACCATAGGAAAGATTTATTGCCAACTTCATCAACCATGCTAAGATTTCATCATTAACAGATGCATATCAAGTTCCTATTGTTCATGAAAAGAATTGCATTTAAAAGGTAAGAATCATGTTCATTAGCAGTTTCAGATAAATACTCATAAAAGACATCCCTGGGATCCACATAGGTTGAATCTTCCTCCAGAACAGGACAAAGGACCAGAACTCAGGCCCGGGCTTGTGCGTGGATGGCGTACAGATGGTGTCAATGATGTGGTTTAAGGGACCACATGTATCGCTTGGGAAAGAAAAGCCATTTTCCACACTCTTTTTTTTTTTTTTCTTGAGATGGAATTTCACTCTGTCATCCAGGCTGGAGTGCAGTGACACAATCTTGGCTCACTGCAACCTCCGCCTCCCAGGTTCAAGTGATTCTCCTGCCTTAGCCTCCCAAGTAGCTGGGACTATAGGCATGTGCCACCACACCTGGCTAAGTTTTTTGTATTTAGTAGAGAGGGGGTTTCACCATGTTGGTCAGGCTGGTCTCAAACTCCTGACCTCAGGTGATCCACACGCCTCAGCCTCCCAAAGTGCTGGGACTACAGGCATGCGCCACCGCACCTGGCCATATTTTCCACACTCTTGAAGCGCCTGTTCCAATCACATTTTCAGGTTAAGAGATGAAAACTTTCAAATGTACATGTTCACAGAAATGTGCTACTACCCTCCTTTTACACTTTAACTCGAATTATCCGATGGAATCGGCTTTGACTGTTTAGCAGAACCTTGGGGTTACATGACACGGTCAAGGGAGTATTCAGGAAGCAGAAGAAATCTGCGGGTCCTGGAGAATGGAACCAGAGAGAGAGAGAGAGAGAGAGATAAGGCCAGAGAAAGCAGAAAGGCAGGAGGCCAACCTGGGGTCTGCAGGGAGACCCAGAGAGGACGGCAAGTCAGAAAGAAAGTTGGACCACACCCAGGGAGCAAACCTAGTCTGCAGACACGATGACCACCATCTCCCTGAAAACTGGGGAATCCACCCTTCTCTCTAGCCTCAGAATAAGGAAATGGAAAGAGGACCCTTTCCTTAGAGCAGGTAACTAATTTAGAAAGGACCTAACAAGTTACTATCTGTACCATGTAAGAATGTTCTTCCTTCATTTTTTAATATGCGTGCTGTTTTGTGAAAGTAAATGCAATCTCAGGACCCCACACTCATTATGCCAAAAGGAAAGGCAACCTTGGGAACTGAGTCACGCAACACCGCCTTCCTTTTGTTCCCAAATGAGAGCTGTCATTTCACAACCCTGTGTCATCGCCTCATCCATAAGCCAGGCTCCCATGTTGACAGAAGATCACATATCTCCCCAGATGGCCTCACAAATTGCTCACAAGGAAATTCCTCGTGAGCCCCTAACTCTTTCAGGATACATATCCCTCTCTATAAACTAGCCCTAAAACTGAGTTCTGTTGAATCTCACCCTGACAATGTCAATTACCAACTTATCTTCACAGGACAAGGGCAAGACCAGACATCAACCTTCTGCCTACACTCAGAAGAATGCACCACTGACTTTTCACATGAAAGATGTAGATTTACTGAGTGTTCATCAGTAAGTGCTCGCTGCCTGCCCTCCCTTTCTTTTTTTCCCCTCCTGCTTGTTCTTTCCCTTTCAAATACAGAAGCTCCCCAAACCCTCTGTCTTTGTTTTTGGTTTTGAGACAAGGTGTCACTCCATTGCCCAGGCTGGAGTGCAGTGGCATGATCACAGCTCACTGCAGCCTCGACCTCCTTGGCTTCTCAGCCTCCAAAGTGTCTGGGACCACAGGCACACACCACCATGCCTAATTTTTATATTTTTAGTAGAGACAGGGTCTTGCTGTTGCCCATGCTCATCTCAAACTCCCGGACTCAAGTGATCCTCCTACCTTGGCCTCCCAAAGTGCTAAGATTACAAGCACGAGTCACCACACCTGGCCCCCAAAACCCTCTTTGGAAAAGCACAGGTCAAACACAGATGCTCTGGTGACTTGTGTTTTCCCTGGTGCATCCTCAAACTTTGGCTAAATAAACCGCTACTGACTGAGACACCTGCCTCAGTTGCTTTTTGGTTAATGATATGGGTTGATTTGTTCACTTCAGCTGACCTTCAGTAGGACAGTTTTGCTTTACTACAAAGCTGTGGCAAAGGGCACAGGCCTGTGCACTTTTGAAGCCCCATGCTAGTTTCTACTGATAGCCTTAATAGTTTAATCATTGAAATGATGATTATTGCATTTAAGGTCAAAAGAGCATCACTAGGCTACGTGCTAATAGTTGTAGCTATGGGTATGTCCTAATTTTCTTAGGAGATTCTTTTATGATGTTACATGAAAGGGTTCGACTAGGCAATCTCCCGGGTCCCTTTCAGTCCTGACATTCTTCATCCTGTGCCCCTGCAAAGCAAACAGACTGCCCTCAAGTACGTCGGGTGATCTCTGGGGCCCCAAGTCCCTGGAAACTGCCAAAAGCATCTGGGTTTGCTTAGACCCCTGGGGGAAGCATGGCTCTGCCAGGTGTCACAGCTGATTTAACTAAAAGAAAGATGAGAACCAGCCAGGGGAACTGAAGCTTGACAGTGTCCCTGAGGGTCTGTCCAGTGAGAGCCAAAACAGCATGGGGAAGACAGGAGGAGATCCTCTCCAGCCCAAGATTCACAGGCTGCGCTTATTCTAACCACAGCCATCAGTCCCCAGAAATGTCCCCACGGGTCTGTAAAACCTCCGTGCCAGCTGAGAAAGGGGAGAGCTGAATCTGCTGGTGTCTGTGATGGATGGGATGAGGCAGAAACACAGGGCAGACAGGGAGGAGGGGGTGGAGGAAGAAAGGCTTAGGTAAGCAAAGATAATGTCTTCTTCCCCGGAGAAGTTTGCATGAGCTAAGATGTCCTCCCGGAGAGCTCAGATAATAGCAAACTTTCTGCTTCCAACACAGAGGGGAGATAAATGATCACTTCCTATTTAAAACCACAGCTTTATGGCCATAGATCCTATGAGCCTGTCATTCTTCTTTGCCTAGACCCTGGAAAGATGGTCTACATATTCAGACCCCACGTCTGCATGGGGGCAAGACACCGAGAGAGGATTCAATGAAGCAAACAGCTACAGGGGACTTTGGAAACAGAACTCAGAATCTTCTATCTCCTAGACTGCAAGACTCTCGGCACACTTTCTCTCAAGCTCTGCTTCTAGTACTCTGGCACATTGCCATAATCATGACCCTAGCATTGGTTACTTCATGAGGCCAGAGGAAGGCTGGCTTGAGGAGTCTCTCTTTGGGGGAGAGGAGACCCTTTATGGAAGATTAGACTTTTTTTTTTTTTTAAGAGACAGGGTCTTGCTATGTTGCCCAGGCTGGTCTTGAACTCCTGGCTTCAAGCCAGCCTCCTGCTTCAGCCTTCCTAAGTGCCAGGATTACAAGTGTGAGCCACTGCATCTGGCCCAGGATTTTTTTTTTTTTTTTTTTTTTGAGATGGATTCTCACAGTTGGCCAGACAGGAGTGTGGTGGCGTGATCTTGGTTCATGGCAACTGCCGCCTCCCAGGTTCAAGTGATTCTCCTGCCTCAGCCTCCCGAGTAGGTAGAATTACAGGCACCTGCCACCACACCCAGCTAATTTTTGTATTGTATTTTTAGTGGAGACAGTGTTTCACCATATTGGCCAGGCTGGTCTCAGAACTCCTGACCTCAGGTGATCTGCCTGCCTCGGCCTCCCAAAGTGCTGGGTTTACAGGCGTGAGCCACCGTGCCCAGCCCAGGATCCTTTTGGATCCACCTAAGCATATCATATACTGAGGCTCTCTGGAGAGGCTTGGGGGATTGAAAAATAAACTTAGTTATACAAGAAAAGTGATAAAAATTCAGGAGGAAATGAGGCCAGTGAAGCCTCTTCAACCAGGCAGGGTGAGAACTTTCTCCTGCTGACTGCTGACTTTTTGGCACAGGTGCTATTACTGAGGGCATCTATGAAGTAGTCCATGGCAAGAGTCCTGTTTATTTACAAAGCTCTGACTTTAGTTACTACCAAATTCCATCCCCTATGAGTTACGATGGAGAAAGTGAGTCATAGTGATACCACATGATTATCCATGAGTTAAAAATGAGAAGTGAGCGGCTGGGCACGGTGGCTCACCCCTGTAATCCCAGCACTTTGGGAGGCTGAGACAGGCAGATCACAAGGTCGAGAAATCAAGACCATCCTGGCCAACATGGTGAAACCCTGTCTTTACTAAAAATACAAAAATTAGCTGGGCGTGGTGGCATGTGTCTGTAGTCCCAGCTACTTGGAGGCTGACGCAGGAGAATTGCTTGAACTCGGGAGGCAGAGGTTGCAGTGAGCCGAGATCATGTCACTGCACTCTAGCCTGGGAGACAGAGAGAGACTCTGTCTCAAAAAAAAAAAAAAAAAAAAAAAAAAAAAAGTGAGCTACCACCAATCAAAATCAAAAGCCATGGTCACACGCTGCAACGTGGAGGACCTTGAGGACATTAAGCTAAGTGAAATGAGCCAGTCATAGAAAGACACATACTGCATGATTCCACTTATATAAGGGATCTCAAGCACTGAAACTCACAGAAACAGAAAGAATGGTACTTGCCAGGGGCTGGAGAGGTGAGGACTTAGCTGGGGAAAGGGCAACAAAACAGAGTTTCAGTCATGCAAGATGAAAAAGTTCTAGAAATCCGCTATACGACAGCGTACACACAGTTAACAATACTGTAGATTTTGTTAAGAGTAGATTTCATATTACGTGTTTTTTACCATAATTAAAAAAAAAATC
The DNA here is from genome assembly GCF_000001405.40 of Homo sapiens. Taxonomy (NCBI): domain Eukaryota; kingdom Metazoa; phylum Chordata; class Mammalia; order Primates; family Hominidae; genus Homo; species Homo sapiens. The sequence goes on from NC_000010.11 coordinate 12,982,512, forward strand.
GGCCGGGTGCAGTGGCTCACACCAGTAATCCCAACACTTTGGGAGGCCGAGGTGGGTGGATCATTTGAGGTTAGGAGTTCAAGACCAGCCTGACCAACATGGTGAAATCCCATCTCTACTAAAAATACAAAAATTAGCTGGGTGTGGTGGCATGCACCTGTAATCCCAGCTACTCAGGAGGCTGAGGCAGGAGAATCACTTGAACCTAGGAGGTGGAGGTTGCAGTGACCAAGATTGCACCATTGCACTCCAGCCTGGGTGACAGAGCAAGACTCTGTCTCAAAAAAAAAAAAAAAAAAAAAAAAAAACCATACCTCTATGCAGGGCACAATGGCTCACGCCTTTAATAACAGCACTTTGGGTGGCCGAGGTGGGCAGATCACTTGAGATCAGGAGTTTGAGACCAGCCTGGCCAACATCGTGAAACCCATCTCCACTAAAAATACAAAAGTTAGCTGGGCATGGTGGCGGGTGCCTGTAATCCCAGCTGCTGAACAGGCTGAGGCACAAGAATGGCTTAAACCCGGAAGGCGGAGGTTCCAGTGAGCCAAGGTCATGCCACTACACTCCACCCTGGGTGATGGCTGTCTCAAAAAATAAATAAATAAATAAAATAGTGTATATATATATATATATATATATATATATATATATATATATATAAAATCTATAGCTCTAAAGGTTTTGGGGTAGAATTAAAAAGAATCTATAGCTATGAGTAGCTTAACAGTTGTGTCTCTAATCCATCTTAACACTGATGCAAAGAAGAATTTGAAAACAGCAGGGAGTGGTGGCTCATGCCTGTAATCCCAGCACTTTGGGAAGCTGAGGCGGGCAGATCACTTCAGGTCAGAAGTTCGAGACCAGCCTGGGCAACATGGTGAAACCTTGTCTCTACTAAAAATACAAAAATTAGCAGGGTGGTGGTGTGCATCTGCAGTCCTAGTTACTCAGGAGGCTGAGGCAGGAAGATCATTTGAGCCTGGGAGGTAGAGGTTGCAGTGAGCCAAGAGTGCACCACTGCACTCCCACCTGGCTTATGTGAGTGAAACCCTCTCTCAAGAAAAAAAAAAAACAAAAGAAAACAAAACGAAAAAAACTTTCAACATACTACAAAGGGAATGTTTACAGTCATAGCTCTAATAAAAAGAAGTGGCAAAAAAAAAAAAAAATGGGCAAAAGATATGAACATTTTACCAAAGAGGCCGGACAGATGGTAAATGTACAGATGAAAAGATGATTGACATCATTAGCCATGAGGGAAATGCAAATTAAAGCCACACTGAGGCTGGGCGCAATGACTCATGCCTGTAATCTCAGTACTTTGGGAGGCTGAGGTGGGCAGATCACTTGAGGTCAGGAGCTGGAGACCAGCCTGGCCAACATGGTAAAACCCTGTCTCTACTAAAAATACAAAAGTTAGCTGGGCATGGTGGTGCATGCCTGTAATCTCAGCTACTTGGGAGACTGAGGTGGGAGAATCACCTGACCCCGGGAGACAGAGGCTGCATTGAGCCAAGATCGTGCCACTGCACTCTAGCCTGGGTGACAGAGCAAGACTCTCTCAAAAAACAAACAAACAAACAAAAAACCCACAGTGAAAAGACAGCACACACAATGGGAGAAAATGTGTACAAATCATACATGTGATAAGGGTTTAGTATCCATAATAAACAAGGAACTATTACAACTCAACAATAAAAAGACAACCTAGTTAAAAATTGGACAAAGGACTTGAATAGACGTTTCTCCCAAAAGGACACTATGCAAATGCCCAATAAGCACCGTAAAGATGCTCGACATCATGAGTCATTAGGGAAATGCCTATCAAAACCACAATGTGATACCACTTGAGTCCCACTAGGATGACTAAAATCATTAAGATAGACAATAACAACTACTAGTGAAGACGTAAAGAAATTGCAACCCTCATACACTGCTGGTGGGCACGTAAAATGGTGCAGCTGCTTTGGAAAACAGTCTGGCTGCTCCTGCAAAGGCTAAACATAGTTACCATCTGACCCAGCAATTCCGCTCCTAGTTAGTTACACACCCATGAAAAATGAAAGCTTATATCCGTACAAAAACCTGTTCATAGCAGCATTATTTATAACAGGCAAGAGTGGAAACAAATCAAATGCCAAACTGCTGAATGAATAAACAAAATGTGATAGCACCATACCATGAAATATTATTCAGCCATAAAAAAGAACAAAGTACTGATTCATACTACAATATGAACGAAGCTTGAAAACATTATGCTAAGTGAGACTTGCCTGAGACAGACAAATCTTACACAATAGTGTAAGATTTTCTGTATATGAGACGTCCAGAGTAGGCAAAGCCATAGAGACAGAAATAGACTAGCAATTGCTGGGGCCTGGAAGAAGCAAAGAACTGAGACTGATCAGTAAAATGGATCTGGGGTTTCTTTTGGGGGTTATAAAATGTTCTGAAGTTAAAAGTGGTGACGGTTACACATATATGTGGATATACTGAAAACCACTTAATTGTACAGTTAGAGACTCAACTGTTTACGCTATTCATAGCTATAGATTTTTTTTACTCTACCCAAAAACTTTTAAAGCTATAGATTTTTTTTAAATTATGGTAAAGAACAAAAAATATGAAATCTACTCTTATCCAGGGTGAGTTTGTGGCATATAAATCGTATCTTAACTTTTTAAAAAGCAAAACCTTAAAACCATAATGAGATAGCACTGCACACCTATCAAAACAGCTAGAATAAGAAATAGTAATTACACCGAATGCTGGCAACGAGGCAGGGAACTGGATGCTTTATCCATTGCTGATAGAAATATAAATGGTACAGGACCTTTGGAAAATTAATTTCAGGGTTTCTTTTAACACTAAAAATAGACTTACCATACAACCCAGCAATGGGACTCTTGGGCATTTATAACAGAGAAGTGAAAACTTATGCCTACACAACACTCTGTACGTGAATGTTCACCGCAACTTTATTCGTAATAGCTAAAAACTGAAAGTTACCGTAATGTCTTTCAGTAGGCAACTCGTTAAGCAATCAGCGGTGCATCTACACCATGGAATACTACCCAGCAATGAAAGGGAATCCAGTAACTTGGATTAACCTCAAGGAAATTATGTTGAATGAAAAAAGACAATCTCCAAAGGCACATATAGTATGATTATATGTACATAACACCTGAAATAACATTATAGATATGGAGAAAAGATTAAGGGTTGCCAGAGTTTAGGGATAGGTGAGGGGAAGGGTAGCTTAAAAGGGGTAGCAGGAAGAAGCCACTTGGTGATGGGACAGTTCTGTATCTTAATTGTGGTGGGGTTACCAAAAGACACACGTGATAAAATTGCATCGAGTTTTTTATTTGTTTGTTTTGGGACGGAGTTTTGCTCTGTCGCCCAGGCTGGAGTGCAGTGGCGCGATCTCGGCTCACTGCAAGCTCCGCCTCCCGGGTTCACGCCATTCTCCTGCCTCAGTCTCCTGAGTAGCTGGGACTACAGGCGCCCGCCACCACGCCCAGTTAACTTTTTTTGTATTTTTTAGTAGAGACAGGATTACAGGCGTGAGCCACCGTGCCTGGCCTCGAGTTTTACACATGTACATAAATGACTGCCTGTGTAACTATCAGGTTGGTGCAAAAAGTAATTGCAGTTTTTTGCCATTTTTGCCATTAAAAGTAATTACTTTTGTACATTTTACAGTAAGATACATGTAATAAACTTGCACAGAGTTTTACACATGTACACAAATGAGTGCCTGTGTAATGACTGAATACTAACATCTGAATAAACTCTGCAGATTTCATCAGTGTCATTGCCTGGTTTTGATATTGCACTACAGTTATACAACATATTAACAGTAGGGGACAAGGGGTGAGGGGTGCCTGGGACCCGTCTGTACATTTCTTTGCAACTGCCTGTGAATCTAAGATTATTCCAAAATAAAATGAATTTTTTAAAAAAGTAATCCCTGTAGGCCGGGCACAGTGGTTCACGCCTGTAATCCCAGCACTTTGGGAGGCCAAGGCGGGCGGATCACAAGGTCAGGAGATGGAAACCACTCTAGCTAACATGGTGAAACCCCATCTCCACTAAAAATACAAAAAATTAGCTGGGCGTGGTGGCGGACGCCTGTAGTCCCAGCTACTCGGGAGGCTGAGGCAGGAGAATGGCGTGACGCGGGAGGCGGAGCTTGCAGTGAGCCGAGATCGTGCCACTGCACCCCAGCCTGGGCGGCAGAGCGAGACTCCGTCTCAAAAAAAAAAAACAAAAAAACAAAAACAAAAACAAAAAAGTAATCCCTGTAAAATAGGAAACTAAAAATGTAACAATAATATAGCATTTGTCCCTGTTTAAGAGTAATAACTGTTTCAATAAAACTTTCATTTGATGGCAAAACAAAAAAGAAAGAAATGATACACCACACACAGTATAGTCACAAATCCTGACCCCTCCTTGCTGGAGGGCAATCTTCTTCGAGTGTGAACTGCCTACACTCAAAAACAAGCCAGGAACTCCCAGTGTGGGTCCACTGACCCGTGCACCCTCATCGGCCCTCCATTCCCTGGTATGCAGCCCTGTCCTCTGCTGTGTGCTGGCTCACCCCAGCGCCTGCACACATCCCTCCCCTGTCTAAATTCATCGTCTCTCACCTCCACCAAATCCTCCCATTTCCTGTGGCCCAGCAGGAGTACCCATCTTTCATGTGGGTTAATTGTATCTCATCACTTGACTTCAGAGACCAGGTCTAATTCTTCCACTACATTCTCCATAACCCATGACACAGTGCTAAGCACGTAGGAAGGATTTTCTATGTGGATGGAATAAACGCCCATCTGCCTGGAGATCTTATGGGATATATGGGGCTATGAGAGCTGTAACATAACGCCTCACACATAACCAATACTCTGTCCTTATTAGTATGTTACCTTTTTTTAAATTATCATTACAGTGATATGGATAAACCACAGTAGGTATATTATAACCAATTTTCAGATAAAGCAACTAACCTCAGAATGGTCAAGTGACACCCAGTTAGAACCCAGAACTCTATTTTAAAACCTATCAAGGACCTGTCTATTCTTGCATCTATCGAGATGCAAATTTCTGCCTTAAAACTATTTTCAACTAGGTATGTTATTAATTAATTCAGGTACAAATATTCCCAAAGGAAGTGTAATATTTTGCAGCACAAAGCATGACATTGGCCAATACCCTGGGGGTGGTCGAGGTGCTGGAGGAAGATGACACAGAGCAAATGTCTTAAAAAGTAGTGACAGCAGTGGTCTGTGATCAAAGACAAATTGGAAGAACACAGGAGAGCGCCCCTTCCAGACATATCCCAGAGCCAGCCATTTCTTCCCAGAGCCACTGCTACCCACTAGTCCAAGCCTCCAGTCTTGCCTAGACAGTTCCAGTGGTTTCCCAACTGGTCTCCCTGCTTCCGCTTTTGCCCCTCAGCAATCTGTGGTTCACTCAGCTGCCAGAGTGTTCCTTTTCTGAAAGGCTCATCACGTCTCACCACGCCGTTCAATGGCTCCCCAAATCACAAAGATCTAATCTTCCCCCACATGCTCAGAAATGTCCACATGATCCAGCCCATGCTCACCTCTCCAAACCCAGCTTGTTCCATTCTCTCCCCACCGCCAATGCTCATTCCTATTTTTCCACCCCTCGAGAAGGCCAAGCCATTTTCACCTTGGGGCCAATTGCAATGGCTTCTTGGTCTGCCTGGCATGCTTTTCTGCCTGATCTTTGTATGGCTGGTTCTGTGTCCTTCAGATTTCAGTTTAAAAGTCATCTCTTCAACCTAAAGTGGCTTCCAATTCCTATTACCTTTTTTTTTTGAGACAGAGTCTCGTTCTTGTCGCCCAGGCTGGAGTACAGTAGTGCAATCTCAGCTCACTGCAATCTCGGCCTCCAAGGTCTAAGCGATTCTGCCTCAGCCTCCTGAGTAGCTGGGATTATAGGTATGTGCCACTATGCCTGGCTAATTTTTGTATTTTTAGTAGAGACAGAGTTTCACCATGTTGGCTAAGCTGGTCTTGAACTCCTGACCTCGAGTGATCTGCCCACCTCAGCCTCCCGAAGTGTCAGGATTACAGGCATGAGCCACCGCGCCCCACCTACCCTCTTTTAATTCTTGGCCAAACACCTATCATTATCTGTTATTTTTCCTATGGACTGATACATTCATTGATGTAGTGACTGTCTCTCCCTCATCCCACTACCACGTAGGTTCAAGGAGGGCCTGGAGCTCTTTTCTCCTGTTCCCTTTTGTATCCCCAGTGACACACTGTAGGTGTTTAGTAAATATATGTAGAATGAAGGTACAAATGAATAAATTAAAAAGACCACCATCCTACCTACTTGCCAGCTTTGGCTCTACTTGGCCAATCAAGTGGCTGAGTAATGACAATCAGAATAAGTTAATAGCCTTCACCTAGAAAGCAGGGAGTAGCACGATTATAAATAGCTCAAAAGCTTTCTGAAAACAGTATATGCTTAGTCACTCTCCAAAGTCCAGATCGAGCCCCCTCAATCCAGAGTCTCCTGAGTCTCAGCCCTGGAATCTTTACAAAGGTCTTCATAGCCCCCTACAATCTGGCCCAACGCTGCCCATGCAGCTGCCCATTATTCAGCAGGGCTAGAAGCCCAGCTCCTGAAATCATTCCAAGCTCAATGTTCACTCAAGGTCTCCTGAAATTCTGGGCCACATACTGAGGTCACAAACCTCCCTTCACTCAGACCATTAAATCCCCCATTCCTTAAGCCCTCGGCTCAGTCAATACCTCCCTTCTACCATGGTCCACCACTGACTTAGTCCAGAGCAGCAGTTCCCCAAGTCTGCAGAATCCTAGGGGGCCCCAGGACCCATTCATTCATTCATTACTCACTCATTCATTCATTTTACTTACTTATTTAGACAAAGTCTCTCTCTGTCGCCCAAGCTGGAGTGTAATGGCACGATCTCAGCTCACTGCAAACTCCACCTCCCGGGTTCAAGCGACTCTCATGCCTCAGCCTCCTGAGTAGCTGGGATTACAGGCACGTGCCACCACACCTGGCTAATTTTTGTATTTTAGGTAGAGACAGGGTTTCACCATGTTGGCCAGGCTGGTCTCTAACTCCTGATCTCAAGTGATCAGCCCACCTCAGTCTCCCAAAGTGTTGGGATTACAGGCGTGAGCCACTGCACCTGGCCCCAGCACCCTTTTAGGCAGTCCATGAGATCAAAACTATTTTCGGAATACTACTAAGATGTTATTTATTTGTCTTTTTCACTGTTTGTCATTTGCGCTGCTGGTGCAACAGCAAGGCAAGTTAAACTGCCAGCCTCATAGCGCAAATCAAGATAGTGGGACCAGATGATTCTAGCAGTCATTGCATTCTTCAGTGCCATGTGCAAGCAGAAAAAAAAAAATGCCAGTTTAATTTAAGAATATCTTCACTGGGCCGGGCACAGTGGCTCACGCCTGTAATACCAGCACTTTGGGAGGCCGAGGCGGGCAGATCATGAGGTCAGGAGATCGAGACCATCCTGGCTAACACAGTGAAACCGCATCTCTACTAAAAATACAAAAAATTAGCCGGGCGTGGTGGCAGGATCCTGTAGTCCCAGCTACAGGCCTCGGGAGGCTGAGGCAGGAGAATGGTGTGAACCTGGGAGGCGGAGCTTGCAGTGAGCCAAGATAGCGCCACTACTGCACTCTGGCCTGGGCAAAAAAGCGAGACTCCGTCTCAACCAAAAAAAAAAAAAAAAAGAATGTCTTCACTGAAGCAGTAAAAATTATTAAATCCTGACTCTTGCATACACATTGTTAATACATGCAAGTGTGAAGAAATGAAGCATACACATAAAGCCCCTCCGCATAGCAAAGTATGATGGTTGTCTCAAGTTCTGAGATGAACTATTGGCTTTCTTCATGAAACACTATTTTTACTTAAAAGAATGAAATGAAGGGCCAAATATATTTATTCAGATTTGGGTATTTGATAGACATTTTCTTGAAGGTGAATAAAGTAAGCTTGTCACTTCAAAGAAAACAACTGACAGTATTGGCTGCCAGTGACTGGGTGTGAGCTCTCAAGCAAAAATTAGAATTTTAAGAAAGTTGCCACTGTGAGTTTGACAGCTTCCCAATACTTAGTCTTTCCCCCATCAGATCAATAGTGGTATTAACAAATATGATTTTTATATTGTATAATTAAATCTCACCACATTTGGAAGGTCTGCATAACATGGTAAAACTACTATTTTCCAAATGGTCAATGCGTCATGTTATGAAATCATGCATGAGTAAGAAATCCATTCAAAGTACAAGATAGGCCAATGTATTTTCATGTAGGAATACAGAAAGTTCATTGATAAGGTTTCAGATTCTACATTATAGCACATTTTTAAGATACTACCACTTTTGAGTTTGGGTGCAGTATCAAAGAAGAATAAAGAAACAGAGACACTTAACAGGTGCTCAAATACTTGTTGACCATAAGCTACACTTCTCCATCTCTAAGGAATGAGTATCTTTGTTTTTGACCAAATGATCTGTTAAACTTGAGGATCTCAGCACACTTGCGGGGATACCTTTAAATTGTTCTAGAGCCCTTTCTGAAAAATGTGAATGAAATGAGTTCTATCTGATTTTTAGTCTATTTGGGGTTCAAACCTCGCTTTAGAAACTACAGATCCTGTCCCATTCCTATTTGCTTTTGATCATCAAAAAATAAACACTGTTCATTTTTTCCCTCCGTGCTATATATTCCACCAAAGCTTGAACATATGTTTTTTTTGTTGTTGTTGTTTTGTTTTTTTTTCCTTGAGAGGGAGTCTTGCTCTGTTGCCCAGACTGGAGTGCAGTGGCATGATCTCAGATCACTGCAACCTCTGCCTCCTAGGTTCAAGCGATCCTCCTGCCTCAGCCTCCCAGGTAGCTGGGATTACAAGCATGTGCCACCATGCCTGGCTAATTTTTGTGTGTTTAGTAGAGACGGGGTTTCACCATGTTGTATCACCATGTTGGCGAGGCTGGTCTCAAACTCCTGACCTCAAGGGATCTGCCCACCTCAGCCCCCCAAATTGCTGGGATTACAGGCTTGAACCACCAATCCTGGCTTTGAACACACGTTCTTAATGGAGCCAGTCAGATAGAAATGTCAACTCCAGCGCCAGTCAAGATGAAGCAAGCCAACCATGGCCTATGATTCCCACTGATTTTAACTGAAATCTCTGCATATAGTTTTAAAAACTCCAAAACCTTACCTACCTGAACTCTGAACACTAAACAGTTAGAAGCAATGCGGGGATCTGACCCAAAAAGGGCTGAATCATGGAGCTGTGCAGCAAAAACTCCAGGAGAAATCCTTATTATGGACAAAGGCCTTGTTTTCTGTCTCTTTCTTATCTTTTTTTCTCACCCAGTCTAGCCCTCAGGCCATGCATATGGAAAGATCTCCCAGATCTACTCATGAATTAAGCAAGGTGTAGTGAAGTGTACACAGTGTGTTGCCATTTGTGTCAAAGACGGTGGTAATAACACATATTTGGATTAAAAAAAAAAAAAGAAAGAAAAAACAAAAACTCCATTGAGGACCAACTGCAGTGGCTCACACCTATAATCCCAGCATTTTGGGAGGCTGAGGTGGGTAGATCACTTGAGGTCATGAGTTTGAGACCAGTCTGGCCAACATGGTGAAACACCATCTCTATTAAAAATACAAAAATCAGCTGGCCGTGGTGCTGGGCGCCTGTAGTCCCAGCTACTCAGGGGGCTGAGGCATGAGAATCGCTTGAACCTCACTGCGGAGGTTGCAGTGAGCTGAGATTGCGCCACTGCACTCCAGCCTGGGCAGCAGACCAAGACTCCATCTCAAAAGAAACAAAACAAAACAAAACCAACAACTCCATTGAGATAAAGAAAATGTATTTTATATATGTCATGGAATACTACTCAGCCATAAAAAGGAATGAAATAATGGCATTCGCAGAGATCCGGATGGAACTGGAGACCACTATTCTAAATGAAGTAACTCAGGAATGGAAAATCAAACATTTTATGTTCTCACTCATAAATGGGATCTAAGCTATGGGGACGCAAAGGCATAAGATTAAGAATGGACTCTGGGGACTCGGTGGGAAGGGTGGGAGAGGGTGAGGGATAAAAAAGACTACACACTGGGTACAGTATACACTGCTCACGAGATGGGTGCACCAAAATCTCAGAAATTACCACTGAAGAATTGATTCGTGCAACCAAACACCACCTGTTCCCTAGAACTGACTGAAATAATGATTTTTAAAACACCACTGACTGTCTATAAAGGAAACTAGTAACAGTGGCTACTTATTTGGAGGATTTGTGGGGACTGGGTGGATGGGTGTCAGAGGTAGTAGAGACCCCACGTGAGTGTGTTATCTGTTGATAATTCAATACACTATATTTTTAAATGTCATCCTTGCACAGAACCCAATCGATTCTGTTGAATGAAAAAAGTGCAGAAGATAGCTTCCCTTCCATCCGTTCCCATCTCCAGCACAAACCCCTGTTACTACTGATGTTGCCACTACTCCATGGGATGTTTCAGGACCCCCTGGACGGGAGCAGGCAGCTTTTCAAATTCTTTTTCAATGTGGTTTTTAAAGCAATACTTGAGAATAATCAGCTTCCAGTAATAAGCCCTTGCATCACTCTAGAAAGTGTTTTCAAAAGTATGTTCTAATTAGGTCCTGAGACAATACCCTGAGACAGTTTATCTGTTCTAGGTTCTATTTTATAGAAGGGAAAACTGAAGTTGTGGGAAGTTAGGGGATCTGCCCACGGTCATTCCTCTGGAAATGGCAGAGCCGATCAAGGTCTTCTGATTACAAGTTGAGCTTAGAGAAGGGTAACACCCCTATCATCCTTCCCAACTCCAAAAGAAGAAAGAAGAAAATGATAGCAAGATCTCCACAGATTTTCCTTCCATTCCATGACATTTTATGACAGACTGACATAAGTATGGGTCAGTCTGGGTCTTGGTCCTAGGGGACAGTAACGGCAGAGAGGGAAAAATATCCAAATTCTGTTTTGACTGTTGCACTTGTCCAGCAAGAGAGAAATGAGGAAGGAAAAATGTCCTTGGCTGGTGTGGAAAGAAATCTGCCAGTAAATCTGGTGGATGTTCCAACGTGCCAAAGATATCCCCCCAAGTCCTATTAACACCATGACACCGAACCAGAGAGGCGGTGAACACGTACTAACACTGCTGACATCTTGGCAGCTTTTGAAAGAAAGATCCCGTTGCTATTTACTAATGCGTGGGTGGGATATTTGAAGATGGAGAGGTGCTGGAAAGGAACCAGAGTGTGGGAGGACTTTGCTCCCAAGGACTGAGTTGAATGTCACCCTGCATATGCTTTGCAAAAGTTTCCCTCCGTAAGATTTCCCCCTCTTCCATCTCCTACCCTCCAAATCGACCCTAGAGTCCCAGATCCTCCAACAGAGAGAAAGTGAGAACTATCAGGGAAGAGAATGAAATGTGCCCTTCATATCTACAGTCCAGATCCACTGTCCAAGCTGAATGGAAACTTAAAGAACAGCAGCATCAACAGCATCTAGAGGTGGGGCATGGTGGCTCACGCCTGTAATCCCAGAACTTTGGGAGGCCAAGGCAGGAGGGTCACTTGAGGCTGGGAGATCGAGACCAGCCTGGCCAACATGGTGAAACCCCATCTCTACAAAAAATACAAAAATTAGCTGGGCATGGTGGTGGGTGCCTGTAATCCCAGCTACTTGGGAGGCTGAGGTAGAAGTATCACTTGAACCTGGGAGACAGAGGCTGCAGTAAGCCGAGATTGCATCACTGCACTCCAACCTGGGCAACAGAGCAAGACTCCGTCTCAAAAACAAAACAAAACAAAAAAAAAAAACACCCAGCACCCAGCACCCAGCACCTAGAAAGTCCAGGAGCACATGGGATGCCTGCAGGGTCTGTAATTGAAGATCGGCACATAATACAAGAAAGTATCCTAAGCAAAGTCCCAGGCCCTTCATAACTGCTCTTAGAATATGCGGAGTGTTAGCGTGTTCTGATTAACAAAAGTCTAACATCTATTCTTACTGGAATAAAAGAGTGATCATAACAGCAATTCTGACCCCTCCCCTAAGGTTAAGGAACAATGTTGACTGCTTCTGACATAACATGGTGTATTTATCCTGGGTAGGATAATTTGATGCTTGCCTTCCCACAGAAAAAGAAACGCTTAAAGTTTTTGGGTTTTTTTAAGAAAAAAGCAGCAAGTAGGCCAGGCACGGTGGCTCACGCCTGTAATCCCAGCACTTTGGGAGGCTGAGGCAGGTGGATCATCTGAGGTCAGGAGTTCAAGACCAGCCAGGCCAACATGGTGAAACCCCCTCTCTACTAAAAATACAAAAATTAGCCAGGTGTGATGGCACATACCTGTAATCCCAACTACTTGGGAAGCTGAGGCAGGAGAATCACTTGAACCCTCGGAAGTGGGGATTGCAGTGAGCCGAGATCATGCCATTGCACTCTAGCCTGGTCTACAGAGTGAGACTCCATCTCAAAAGAAAAAAAAAAAAAAGAAGCAAGTAGTAGTCAATAATTCACAACTATTTTAATCACTCCAGGGTATGTAAAAATATCTTAGGGAGCATCAGAAAACTTTAAAAAGTCAATGTAATTTTAATTTCAAATTAAGTTTTAAACTAATGGGCTAATTTTTCTTGTTTTGCTTTGTTTTGAGACAGAGTCTTGGTCTGCTGCCCAGACTGGAGTGCAGTGGCACGATCTCTGCTCATTGCAACCTCTGCCTCCCAAGATCAAATGATTCTCCTGCCTCAACATCCTAAGTAGCTGGGATTACAGGCGCGTACCACCATCCTCAGCTAATTTTTGTATTTTTAGTAGAGATGGAGTTTCACCATGTTGGCCAGGCCGGTCTTAAACTCCTGACCTCAAGTGATCCGCCGACCTCGGCCTCCCAATGTGCTGGGAATACAGGCGTGAGCCACTGCAATCAGCCCACAATGGGCTAATTTTATGTAGCTTTGATGTGGTCCCTTTCAAAGTGGGTAGGGAGTAAAAACGGCACAAGCAGAGGTCTGGAAACGTGCAGAGTCCCTCAGATTGAACTAAATTCTGCTCCACAGCAGCTCAGCAAAGTGAAATAATGATCTTCCTCACCTCAAGTTTCCACTTTTTCTCTGAGCCTGGAATGCTCCCACACTTTGTTATCTAAGAGGCCAGGGTGATTCAAGGGAAAGGGAAAAGGAATTCTCCCCCAAGATCAACATCTGATCAACAGAAATAGATCTGCCTTCAGGCTGAAACAATTCTCCACGGTCCCATTGTTCTTTGTTTTTCCCAAATGATGGAAAAATCTAATTCCAGAAAAATGTTAGTAGCTAGATTGTGACCATAGTGCTAAGAAGTTATGTAGCTTAAGATTTTAAGGGCTAACCTATTAAAGATCAGAATAATATCTGATCTCTTGACATAAATCTATTATATAGTCATATAAACAAAGCTCCCACAAGATGGGGAACAAAAGGGCCAAGCCTAAAAAGCCTTCGCTTGGAAGAAATTAAGTATGACTCGGGCTTGGGATGCTCAGGCTTAGACTTGCTGGGTCCAACTCAATATGGAGTAGGCAACAGTAATGATTAAGAAGGAGAAAAGGAAGAATAAAAACAGGTGCTTAGAACCACATTGGGAGCAAACTACATGAGAAGCGTTCAGAAAGTTCTAACTTTCTAACCATCAGGGAGGGGTTAGAAAAGTCTAGACTGCTGTCAGTAGGGCAGAGCTGAGGAATGTATGTTTGTTTGTTTCTTTGAGATGGAGTCTTACTCTGTCGCCCAGGCTGGAGTGCAATGGTGTGATCTCGGCTCACTGCAACCTCCGCCTCCTGAGTTCAAGCGATTTTCCTGCCTCAGCCTCCCGAGTAGCTGGAATTAGAAGCACGCACCACTCTGCCCAGCTAATTTTTGTATTTTTAGTAGAGACAGGGTTTCGCCATGTTGGCCAGGCTGGTCTTGAACTCCTGACCTCAGGTGATCCCCCCACCTCGGCCTCCCAAAGTGCTGGGATTACAGACATATGTCAAAGAAGAAGAAATCCTTTCCCTTAGTTGGACGTACCAGCCCTTCACAGGAATAGCTTCTGTGCAAGAGCATGAAGAAGGCCTCCAGGGTCCAGGGAGCCCTGGGAGAAGCTCCCTTTGAATCTCCCTTTGAAGCGGGTTTGAATCCTGTCCTTTGCAGACATGGATGCAGCTGGAGGCCATTATCCTAAGCAAATGAACGCAGGAACAGAAACCCAAACACTGCATGTTCTCACTTATAATGGGAGCTAAACATTGAGTACACATGGACACAAAGATGGCAACAATAGACACGGGGGCCTACGTGAGGGTGGGAGGAGGGTGAGGATGGAAAAACTACCTCTCAGGTACTGTGCTCACTACCTGGGTGCGAAACGATTGGTATACCAAACCCCAGTGGCACGCAATTTACCCACGTCATAAACCTACACACGTACCCCCTGAACCTAAAATAAAAGTTGGAAGGAAAACAAAATAAAAAAGACAATAAGGGGATTCGGAAGAACAAGGCAGCTACCCTAGGCCATCCCACCAGACAAGAGAAAGACACTTCCCTCAAACCCTTCTTGATGGGTGGAAAGAAGGGAGTCTCTTAACATGTGCAAATGGGTTCGTTAATGGAAAAAAAAAAAAAAAGTCCTTATTCCATGTGATACCCACATCAGAACTCTCTCTCCAGCAGTGTGTCACATTGCCCTAAAAATGTCTTCAATCGGGGACCGGAAGAGATGGGTCACAGCCCCAGAGGCCTAGACTGGCCTGGCCCCCACTATCATCCCAACTTGGTTGTGGCAAAGCCCATTGCTTTGGAAGAGTGATGATCATCAAAATGTTCCTCCAACTCTGGCATTTGGCCCAGATCGGAAGACTCTTTTATATTTTCATTCCCAACCCTTACGATCCCGACCCTTACATTTTGCAACCACCTTGGCCATCCTGCACCTCTATGTCTTACCAACTATAGTTAAGAATCACAGAAGTGGTAGCTATGATAGCAATTTCATTTCATTTCCCTCAGCACTTTTCCTTTCCTCTAAGACAATTTCTTAGGGCCCTGTGCTGTCCATGACAATCATACACAGTCAGGAACAGTCGTAACGGCTCACATGTATTGAGCACTTACTCTTTTAAGCATTACGCTAACGGATTTACATAATTATAGTTTTTACATATTTAAATCATATTGCATTAGCCCTCTGACATAGATCAGGGGTGTCCAATCTTTTGGGCCCCATTGGAAGAAGAATTGTCTTGGGCCACACATAAAATACACTAACACTAACGATAGCTGATAAGCAAAAAAAAATTGCAGAAAAATCTCGTAATGTTCTAAGAAAGTTTACAAATTTGTGTTGGGCCACATTCAAACTGTCCTGGGCTGCAGGTTGGACAAGCCTGATATAGATGCTACTATTGTCCCTGTTCTGTAGAAGAGGAAACTGAGGCTCAGCATGCCAATCTTCATCTCATCTTGTTCTCATACTTTGGGAAGAACTCCTTATCCAACAGTAAAGCTTCAGGGATCCAAAGTTTATGAATGGTCTTTTTTAACAGCTGGGAGGTAAGGAGGGATAGCAGGAGAGAGAGAGGGCATACGCTAATACTCTCTGATCTGGGCTTTTGGAAGAGTATTCTTGATTCCTTTGGTCACAAAATTCACACAAGGTGTAGCTATACTATTGTT
Organism: Homo sapiens; assembly: GCF_000001405.40. Lineage (NCBI taxonomy): Eukaryota > Metazoa > Chordata > Mammalia > Primates > Hominidae > Homo > Homo sapiens. The sequence continues at coordinate 12,998,306 of NC_000010.11, forward strand.
TTGCTGTGGCACAGGATTTAGCCAATTCTTACCCTACTGTCTTCCTGGATTTCCCAGTCACTGGAGAAAGTCGCCAGCTGCTGCCCTTGCGAACAGTTTGAAAACTGGAAAAGGCTAGAAAACATCCTTCTGTTCTCTTGAGTGTCTGGGAAGATGGCATCTTGGAAATTGACTCCGTGAGGCAAGAGGTTATAATTTTCATCCATCCTAATGGAGGAAAAAAAGGCAGACATGTAGGCTAGACAGTCAAGGGTGTACCAGCTCCAATCCAGAGTCACAGACAACTGCAACGGGCTTGCCAATTTCACATCAATGTCTGGCATGGCTCTCATTAGAGGAGTTACTACTTCTAATTATTTCTTTGTCTCACGCTACATCAGTCTATCCTTAAGGTTTTCAAAAAGATGAGTTTGAGCAAAGTATGGAGAAAACTATGTGTATGGTGCCTGTTTGTCTATTTGTGTTGTCTTCCAAGTCCCCCAAGGGGTCTTCCTTCTCAAAGAGTGTTCCTTATTTCCTGGTGAAAAAAAGGCCAGCTGTCATCACCTATGTTTAAGTTCTGTCTTTGCTATTTATCTTCTGTATGACATGAAACAAATGTCTTAACTCCTCTAAGCTTCAGTATTCTAATCTGCAAAAAGAATATAGTACTGGCTAGGTGCGGTGGCTCACACCTGTAACCCCAGCACTTTGGGAGGCCAAGGCAGGTGGATCACCTAAGGTCAGGAGTTCGAGACCAGCCTGGCCAACACAGTGAAACCCTGTCTCTACTAAAAATACAAAAATTAGCTGGGCACGGTGGCACACACCTGTAATCCCAGTTACTCAGAAGGCTGAGGCAGGAGAATCACTTGAACCTAGGAGGCGGAGGATGCAGTGAGCAGAGATTGCACCATTGCACTCCAGCCTGGGTGACAAGAGTGAGACGCCATCTCAAAAAAAGAACATATATAAGTAAAAAATAGTACCTACTTTTCTGGTGATGTCATAAGCATTGCATCAAAAACCTAAGTAAATGAAGCACTTGGTACAAAGTAAATGCAGTATGCATGTTAGTGAACACATTTAAAGGCCTAGCATTAATCAATTAGAATGATTCTTTAAAATGTCACAAAAAGAAAGAGATGAAAGTTACACTCCAGTCTACAGAAAACACGTAGGGCTCACCAGCAAGTCTCCGTTGCCACCCTCACCCCTGACAGTGACCACAGGTCCAGTTTCATCTCAGTGGGTCCCAGAATAACAGAGAAGGAATGATTTGTGTGTAGTTGTTAACACACTCCAAGGCAAGACAGCCCTGTGAAATGAAAATGTCAGACTACTGTCTTTGTATTTCTGCCCTAACTTTTGTAAACATGGTAGAGCAAAAAAGATGAGAATTGGCTGAGCACCACGGAACTATTGGACAAACTGTATTTCATGATAAAAATTTCTTTAAAAAGCCTGCTCAAACACTTGGGCTCTTTTTCCTTTGGAGAACAAAGTTCTGGTTTTGAATAGTTTTATAGATGGTTTCTCAGTATCTTTCCTAATTAAAAACATGAAACCCTAAGTTTCTCTGTATCGAGAAGGGCACTCTCTCAGTCTCACTGGCTTTATTTAGAAACTACACTTCTCTGGAAATACATACATATATATAAAAACTTAATCTAGCTGAACCACTCAAGCCAACACAAAGCAAGACGTGTTTTTTAAACTTAGATATTCTGGCTTCAATATGGAAAACATGTGTTGCCATGCACTTACAAACACCACTTTGTAGAACTGTTTTCTTTCTCAGAGAAATGCGAGCTAAAAGTGAATCTGCAGACCCACGTCAGCCTCATTCCAAATATCCTCAGTGCTACTTCCCAGACTGGGAAAACGAACTACAACCGATCACCCCAACAGTGGATTAATTTACTATCTTGATAGATAGGTTAGATTCCATTTTGATGTTTTTCTCAGTTGTTTTATATCACTCTCCAAATTCCAACTGAAGCTAACCAAAGAATTTAGAGTTCTACCTGGCACTCTCTATTCAAATTTCAGAAGAATTCAGTAGTCAATGAGAATTGACTGAATTCTTAGGCAGATGCATTCCATCTTGACCACAGGCCAAGTTCTGAAGTTCATGGAACTTCAGAAGATTCCAGTGGTCTATAATCAAAGAGGACCTCCTGGCCTGGTTCACCTCTCCACTCCTCAAAGCATTGCTACCCAGGATTTTACCAGCAGCAGAACCCCAAGCCCTAGTAAACCTTTGCTATTTCAAAGAACCTGGCAGCTGATATGAGACAGTGAAGCAATCCCGGGCTACATTCCACACCATTCACATCTTGGCATTTGAGCAAATGAGGAAGAGGAGAGAGTGGACAGCTGGTCAACTTCTAACCTGCACCAGGTGCTTTGCATGAGTTACGTTCCTCACTCAACCAGCCCTGTCTCTCACTTTACACAGGTGAGGCTATGGAAGTTCTTGAGAAGGTGTCAAGAAATGCGCTCAGAATCACGGTTAGGAAGGGCAGAGCCAAAATGCCAGCCACAGACTGATTTCAAAGATTGTTTTTCTCACCGTCCCAATCTACTCCCACTGAGGCCAGTTTAAAAACCCAAGTCAAAGGGACTGTTGGAGGGCGCTTTGAGCTTCTGTCTGCAATGCTCTTCTGTGTACAAGGCACAGAAACCTTCCCTGTCTTTTAAACCGCCTTAACCAGGGGTAGTCAGGATGTCTGTAGAGACGTCAGACGGAGCAAGAAAGATCCAAGAAGGCAAGGGGTAGGCGCCCCAGGGGCATTCTCACTTGACACCGACAGGCTGCCCGGGGAGTTACCGGCCTGGCTCTAGGTAACGGCGACCTCGGGAGGTGGCGCAGAGAGAGAGAGAGGTGGCGGCGGCGCCGCCGGGCTCACCTGAGGAAGAAGAAATAGGAGTAGTCCTGGACCACGGTGTGGGAGTGGCACGAGAAGTAGCCCAGGCCGGTGAGGTTGAGCCTGGAGCCGGCGGGCACCTCCAGCATGCTGCCCCACGCCTGGTCGCACAGCATCTCGACCTCGGCCGAGTAGAAGAGGCCCCCCTGGCCGGCGTGGTACTGCCAGGGCAGGTGGTTGTAGAGGCCGGGCGCCTCGGGGTGCAGCGCCAGCACCCTGGCGTACACGATGGTCTCGGCCAGCTCGGCGCGGCAGCCCTCGCTCAGGGGCCTCCACTCGGAGGGCAGCTGGCAGGCGCGCGCGGGCGCTGGGGGACCCGCCAGGCAGAGCGCGGCGAGCAGCAGCTGGCGCAGCATGCCGGGCCCTCCCGGGGCGCACGGGGCGGCGGCGGGGAGCCCGGGGAGCCCGCCGGCCCGGGAAGGGCAGCCCTGGGCGCTCGGCTGCTCGGGCCGCTCCCGGGAGCTGAGCGCACCGCTGTCTCCGCCACGGGGCTCGGCATGCCCGGCCCTGGCGCGCCACGCTTTAAAAGGGTCCCGGGGACTGGACGCGCCGGGCGCCCGCCTCCCGCCCTGCCCCCTGCGGCTGGGGCGTGGGCGGGGGAGGGGCGGGGAGTCGGGCGGGTCCCGGCGCCGGCTGGGGCGGGGACCAGGGACTCGGAGAACGCGGGGACGCCGGGACCCAGCCCTGAATTGGGGACAGTGGCCCAGCAATCTCCTGGCGCCCCACGATGGACGTGGTCCGAGCTTGCCAGGCGTAAAGCCTGTTTGCAAACGCAAGGCATTCATTAAAGAATGACTCTTAATTTGCACGATTACTGCCTAAGTTTTTACATTTTCTCTACATTTCAGAGTAAAAATACATAGAAACCAAATCTGACTTTATATTCCCAGAGATTAGGAAATTCAGTGTGGGCTGAGATCTCGTGCTCTCTCAGATTTGCTAGTTATTTAATGAAGATCTTAGAAAAGCTTTGATAAAAGATTCCAAAAAGCAATCATTTGGCCCTGATTTTCTTGGTTTCCATAATCCCTGATTCCATTTTCTAAACACTGTACACCTGAGAAATACATTCAGAAGTAAATCCCAAACAGCTTTTCACATCAGTGAGTGAATTTGAGGATACTGACTCCACAGTTCCATCTTTATCTCTAAAGGCAACAGGTTTTTTGTTTTGTTTTTTGTTTTTTTCTTGAGACAAGGTCTATATCTGTCACCCAGGCTGGAGTACAGTGGCTCCATCAGGGCTCACTGCAGCCTCGACCTCCCCTGGGCTCAGGTGATCCTCCCAGGTCAGTCTCCCAAGTAGCTGGGAATACAAGCACACTGCCACCCCGGATAATTTTTTGTTTTTAGTAGAGACAGGCTATGTTGCTCAGGCTGGTCTCAAACTCCTGGGCTCAATCGATCCTCCCACCTCAGCCTCCCAAAGTGCTGAACTTTCAGGCGTGAGCCCCCACATCCACCCTGAATATTTAAATTATGCAATTTCATAATGCTATTAGTCTCCCAGGGCTGCCATAATAAAATACTCTAGTCTGGTGGCTTAAATAACAGACCTTACTTTCTCAGAGTTTTGGAGGCAGGAAGTCCAAGATTAAAGTGCTAGGGTTGGTTACTGGTGAGGCCTCTCTTCCTGGCTTACAGACGGCCACCTTCTCACTGTGTCCTCACGTGGCCTTCTCTCTGTGTGTGATGGAGAAAGAGTGAGCCCTGGTCTCTTCCTCTTCTAACAAGGTCACTAGTCCTATGGGGTTATCACCCCACCCTTATGTCCTCATTTAATTACCTGCCTGAAGACCCTATTTCCAAATACAGTCACATTAGGGAGTTAGCACTTCAACATATGAATTTGGAGGTGGGAGGGGAGACATAATTCAGTCTATATGAGCTATTTAGCAGGTGTTCTGCAGGTTTGCTAGAGAAAGAGAGCAGGGATCCCAAATGGTTTATATTCCTGGCAGGCAGACTCACAGCACACACTGCCAAGTTATAATAAGAATTGCTAAACCTTAGTCATTGTTGACCATGGGCCAATCACTGTTGTAAGGACTGTACATATGTCATCTTAATAAATTCTCCAAACAATATTCTGAAGTAGATATAACTATTATCCTCATTTTACAGATAACAGGCACAGAGAAGTTAATTGACACCAAAGATCACAAAGCTACAAGTTGACCAAGCTAGGATTCAGCTCCCAGCAATCAGACTCCAGATCCATGTACTTAACTACAACACTAGAATAGGGCCAAATATAGGAAATGCTCTAAAGACACAGGTCGGCCCTTTAACCAGGATATACACAGAGCAAATTAAGAGAAAACCTTAGCAGAGTCACCAATGATGGCTCAAGGAGTGTGCAACTGACCTAACATTAATTTTGTATGACCCAGAATCCCTGCTCTATTTTAGTCCTATACTGTAACTCATCAGATAAGATAGTAAGAAAGTTTTTCTTACTAACTGCATCTTCAAGTGTCTTGAAGGCCTGGAAAAGATTTGTCTACCCCAAAAGACTGTAAGGCCCTCTCTTTTCTTTCCACATAGGTGAGCAAATAAATAAAAATCAGCAAACATGGCTGTTTTTTCTCTTGTTGTATAAACTTGACAGAATCAAAACTCTTCCAATACTTCCCACAGTGTATTTTGCAGAAGTGAGCACCTGCAAGAAATCGTCCTCATGGATTCAGCAGACACATCAGTCATGCTTTTCTCCCCTGTAAGATCTGGCAGAGTGCCTCACTGATTGGGTTTCTCTTCCTGATTGAGCCATTGCAGTGTACCGTAGTGAGCAGTTCCTCTTTGGGGACTAAGACTTCCAAACAAGCAGAGCTCAAGGTAGCCAGGAGGGGAAACAAAACTTCTGTGAGTGAATTATTGGGTTTAATAGTGACATGAGCCACTTCCATCTCTTGATTCCGAGACCTATATGTCCTGGCTGTGGGGTGGATAGTACCGTATATGTATGTTCTGTTTCAAAGCACACACAGTAAGTACACTTTAAGATGGACTCCATCATTTCAGTGTGGTGACTCCCAACTGACACTATAATTAAGTCTTCACTAAACTGTTACATCCTTCAAAATTTGTCCAGTTGCTTCCAGGTGATGGGACATGTGGTAAAACCAGTTAATTCTATGGCCTTGAGACCACTGCTGCACTTCATTGCTGTGAAAGAAGCAATGCTGTGGGAATCATTGATCAGAAACATCACTATGGGAAATTCCATGATGGTGGATAAGGTGCCCCATGAGTCCATAGATGGTGCTACTGGCAGAAGCATTATGGCAGGGAAGGCATATCCGTGTCCAGAATGTGTCTATTTCAGTGAGGACAAATCTCTGACCCCCACCCCCCACCCCAAGATGGAAAAGGTCCGATGGAATCAACCTGCCACCAGGTGGCTGACTAGTTCCCCAGGTGAATGGGGCCACATTAGGGGATCCATGTTGGCCTCTATTGTTGACATATTAGGCTCTCAGCAGTAGTAGTAGTGTTAGCTAGGCCAGCCGTGGTAAGAGGAAGTCCACATTGTTGAGGCAATGAATACCCTCTGTTTCTGCCACCATGGCCACTCTGTTTATGGGCTCATTGAGTAAGCAGTAGAGTGGCCAAGAAAAGAGACTGACAGACACCCACTGAGTACATCAATTGCCCACCTAATCACTAAGAACTTCCCCTCCACTGAATGCACTTTGGTCATCATTCACATGGGTCACAAATATCTTCACACTTGGTAACCGTTATAAGATGTCCATTCATTCACCTCTTCCCAAGATGTCCTTGTCATCAATCTTCTGATCCTATTTCTTTCAAGTCCCTAACCATCAACCAAACCACTAGCAACTGCCCACGAATCAGTGTCCATGTGTACTCCCAGCCCTCTCTTAGTCTAGACATAGCATACAACAAAATCTGCTGCTCAAAGTTCTATCGACTGGGAGAATTTTTCTTCACCAGTGTCCTTCAGGATCACCCATGAGTGAAACTGAGTAATATCTGTGTGTAATACAGAAAAATCTTCAAACCAGTCTTGTTATTTCTTCCTCATTCAACTGGAGTATCTTCAAGAGGCCATAAACCATATGAGTGGAAGAGGCAACGTACCTTCAGAGTCAAAGGAATCTAAGCCACTTGCCCATGCAACTTGCTTGCACCATCTGGACCTGCCCAATCCCAGTCTCTTGGATACCATTTCCATTTAATGGTAGATTGCTGCTGCGCACACATGGCCTTATGTCTAGGAGGGTCATACAACACCCAATTCATGATGAGAAGTTCAGATTACATAGTCACCCAGCATACCATGGTTAGGCATTCAATCTCTACCACAGCCTAGTAGCAAGGGAGATGCTATTTTTCAAAAGGCAAACAGCCATATCCAGAATAAGGCATAGATGTGCACTAAAACCCCAGAGTTTTGTGCTGTGATTTTCCTTCTGGTGCTTTCTAAAGACTCCATACAACATTCCTGTTTGCCATAAATACTTTATCACTGGACCTTCTAGATAATAAGGCTCAAGTGATACAGTGACTTGTACACAGCCTGAACTTGCTGCAGAGACTTCTCAGAACTTGCTCAACACCACTTGAAACTGGCAGCCTTAGAGATAACTCTATAGATGAATTCAAAAAGCATTTTTAAATGTGGCATATGTTCCCTCCTAAATACAAAAAGGCTGAACATACATTCTCCCTCTTTTCCCATTTAGATCATCCAAGGACCAGCAACTTTCCTTTTGCCTTGGAGGAGTGACAATTGAGCCCCCAGAAACCATACTGAGGTGGCAGGTCCCTGAATTTTTGTGGGGCCTATCTCCCACCTTATATCTTACCAAGGCCTCTAAAGTATATGGTGTTTCATGAACATCAGATCCATTCATCATACTGTCATCCATGAGGTAATCCAATGTGATGTTTTGTGGAACGTCAAGACAATCAACATCTCTGCAGAATAAATGTGATAGAGAGCAGGAGAATTGACATAGCCTGAGGCAAAACTGAAAGTATACTGTTAGCCCTGACAGGTAAATGCAAACCGTTGCTGGCAATCCTTGCAAATCAGTGAGGAGAAAAGGGCAGGTCAGTAGCTACGAAGCAAATGCTGGGAGACATATCAATTTGCTCCAGGAAAGATACTACATCTAGGACAGCAGCTGGAATTTTAGCCACCACCTCATTAAGTTCATAGTAGTCTTCAGTCATTCTTCAAGACCCATGCAACTTTTGCACAGCCCAACTGATGAGTTCAGTGGAGATGTGATAACTATCGCCACTTCTTTCAAGTCTTTGATGGCAGCATGGATTTTTGCAATCCCCTCAGGGATGCAATATTGCTTCTGATTTATTCTCTTGGTAGAAATGAAAGTTCTAGGAGCTTCTGCTTAGTCCTTCCAACAATAAAAGCCATCACCCATGGGTCAGAGAGAAAATGTGGGGGTTTGTCAGTTGTCAACTTTGGTCCCTTTGGAGAAGTCTTAGAGGAGGATTTATGGTGTGTGCATGTGGCAATGGTGCAGGGTCCTTCCTCAAGGGCACCTGGCTTACCTTTCAGTCAAAAGGCTCTGTGTCTATAAATTTACTTATGTCTAAAAGCTAGGTAAGGGGCTTCAGTTCCTCTCTGTGGGAATTCAAGTCAGGTTTTCAGCTACCAGAGTTTTTGCTGTTACATAGATCAGGCACTACACCCACAGGTTGCCCACATATTTACTTTCAAGAGACATCATGATCAACTATCCACTGTCAAAGATCTCTGCCAATCGAAACATTCTGATTACTAGTATGCCCCTCCCGACCTTTACGGTAGAGGTACTTACCTTCCCTTTGGCAGTTAAGTGCTGCCGTTTGACCCCTTTTCGATGGCATCATCCTGTACTAGAGTCATAACTTTTCTAGAAAGAGGAGAAACCACAGAGATGTTCAAGGATGCAGTACTTCCTTCATTAATATATTTCTCATTGCTGTCGTGAAGGAAATACCTCTGGGTCATCTTGTGGAATGTAGTTGGCAGGTGGCTGTGCAGGTCACACATCGAGTATTCAGTTCAACCTTCCTAATTCCCTAAGCCTTTGGATTCCCTCCTTTACATTGTTTCAGGGAAGCTCTGGCATCTCAGCCAGCATGGAATTCCTTCAAATTGTAGTCAACCAATCAAGTAAGCTATTAGAGTCACCTCTAGAAGTATATTAAATTTATACTCTCAAACGCATCAAAACAATAAATTTTGCCAAAACTAGTATTATATTCTGCCCACTTTGGTTCTGCCTGGAGTCTGCTGATATATATAGGCAGTCTTGCAATTTCTTTAGTGTCTGGGCTATTTCCTCCTGGATTATAGTGTGTACCTGTCTCCCGGAACATGCTGAGCTTTTACCTTGGTTATACCACTAGTTGAACTTAATTATGACTACAATTGCCTTATAAAAGACACTTCTGAAGCAATAATGGAGCTACCCTCTCTTAAAGATAGACCAAGTATGGTCAAATATGTCCTTTCTTCCCAAAATAATTTTTTTAAAATCCTAATACAAAATAGTGGAAAATATTTTAGTTATGTAAAAAATATTTTAAGTTATTCATGAAAAATAAATGAGTGAGTTCTTCTTCTTTCTTCTTCTCTATCTCTTCCTGAAAAACTCCACTCTAAAAGTCTTTAGCTGGGGCCAAACAAGTTAGGTCTCCAAGCTGGGGCAGGATAAGAGATGGAAGAGACATGCAAGATAGGAGGAGCTTCTGTCTGGGGCTTCCTACTGCAGGTGTGAACCACAAGGGGTGAGGGCATCAATGCAGAGGAGTGGCCCACTATAGGATATGAGAGCCCAAGAAGGGTTAAGGAGAGTCCCTGGAAAAGAAGAGCCTGTCATGTGGTCTCAGGCTCCAAAACCCCATGACAGGGTACCCTGTTATGGGGTTGACCATGTGGGAGGGCAGCATTTGCAGAGACTCAGTGTCTAGGCAATAGTGGCCTCCTAGGCATGCAGCCCAACATGGGTTTCAGAAGCCAATAGGGGTAACATCCACAAGGATGTCAGTGCATGAGCAAGAACAGGGGACTTCCATGTGAAAGGGCATGACCCAGTTCAGAGAATCAGAGCATGGTTAGGGTGAGATGAGTGTCCATGCAGAAGGGCAGCCCAAGCCAGGGAGTCAGAGGCCAAGCAGGGTAATGAGGATGTCCATGTTGGGGAAGGCAGCAGCAGTGCGGTGAATGCCAGACTCCAAGTGTGATGTGGAAGGCATGGCATGAGCTATGGGATGGGAGTAGTGATGGGAGAATAGTTACACACAAGAGGTTGATCAAATAAGCAAATCTATTAAGGAGGATGGAAACCAGTTTCTCACTATCAAAAAAGAGAGTTACATATATGGAAAGAAAGAAAACTACAATGGATCCTGTGGTGGTGAAACATGAATTCATAGATTTTAATAATAGATATAGAAATCAATATAGTTGCATGTGAATTTGTGGATATACACTTTTATCTGTCCCACAAGTCTTAGAAATATATGTTATATGCTTACAAAAAGAGAATTCTTGATAAAACTCAGTAAGTTAGCAATAGAAGGGAACTTTCTCAACCTGATAAAAAGCATCTATGCAGTCTACTGCTAACCTTTCACTTAATGTGAAAGACTGAGTGCTTTCCCTTAAGATCAGAAACAAGACAAGGATGTTCAGTTTCATCACGTCTACTCAACATAGTACTGGAGGTTCTAGTGCAATAATTCCATAAAATAAAATAAAAAGCATCCAGATTGGAAAAAAAGATGTAAAATTCTATTTACCCATGACATGATCATCTGTCTAGAAAATGCAAATGAATCTACAAAAAAGCTACTAGAATTCATAATCAAGTTTAATAAGTGGAATACAAGATCAATATACAAAAATCAATTGTATTCTCTTTACTAACAACAATTGGAAATTGACATTTTTAAAAATAATACCATTCACAATGGCATCAAAATATATGAAATACTTAGAAATAAATCTCATTAAATATGTAAAAGACTTATACATTGAGAACTACAAAACATTACTGAGAGAAATTGAAGAATATTTTGAAAATGGAGATATATATTTTTTTCATAGGTTGGGAGACTCAATATTGTTAAGATGTTCATTCTAGCCAAACTGATTTACAAATTAAATGCAAACTCAATAAAAATCCCAGTGGACTTTTTGATAAAAATTGATAAGCATAGTCAAAATTCCATATGGAATGTAGAGAACTGAGAATAGCCAAAAACAACTTAGAAAATAAAGACCAAAATCAGAAGGCTAACATTACCTGATTTCAAGACCTACTATAAAGCTATAGTAAGCAATAAAGTGTGATTTGGTGCAAACACAAATACCTATGTCAAAGGAACAAAATGAAGTCCAGAAATAAACCCATAAATATATAGATAACTGATTATTAAAAAGCTGCAGAGATAATTCATTGGAAATTGATTGGAAAAAGAACGACCTTTTGAACAAATGGTGCTAGAACAATTGAGGGAAAAATATTTCAGCCCATACCTATCACTGTACACAAAAATTAACTCGAAATATAAAACCTAAAACTATAAAACATCTAGGAGGAAACCTCTGCTAACTTGAGTTAGACAAAACTTAGACATCATCAAAATATCTAATAAAAGAATGAAATATCAAGCCATAGACTGGATGAAAATATTTGCAAATCATATATCTGATAAAGGATACATATTCAGAATACATAAAGAATTCTCAAAACTGAATGATATAGCTGGGTGCACTGGCTCATGCCTGTAATCCCAGCACTTTGGGAGGCTGAGGCGGTTGGATCACCTGAGGTCAGGAGTTCGAGACCAGCCTGGCCAACGTGGTGAAACCCTATCTCTACTAAAAATACAAAAATTAGCAGGGTGTGGTGGCATGTGCCTGTAGTCCCAGCTACTAGGGAGTCCGAAGCAAGAGAATCGCTTGAACCTGGGAGGTAGAGTTTGGAGTGAGCCAAGATCATGCCACTGCACTCCAGCCTGGGTGACAGAGCAAGACTCCATTTCAAAAAAACAAAAAAACAAAAAACACTCAATGATGAGAAAACAAACAACCCAATATAAAAAATGGGCAGAAGATTTAAAAAACACTTCACCAAAGAAGCTAAGAATGGCAAATAAGTGCATGAAAAAACGCTCAAAGTCATTAGTCACTAGGGAAACTCAAAACCATTATGAGATACTCCTACACATCTACTTGAATAGCAAAAATTAAAGATAATGACCATACCAAGTGTTGTCAAGAACATGAAGGAACTGGAACTCTCATGTACTGCTGGTGGAAATGTAAATGGTAAAAGCACTTTGGAAAACAACTTGACAGCTGCTTAAAAAGTTAAACATATGATTAAGCCATTCCACTCCTAGGGATATACTAGAGAAAATTAAAGCATATCCCATATAAAGACTCGTATATGAATGGCGGTAGCAGCTTTATTTGTAGTAGCCCCAAACTAGAAACAACCCAAGTGTCCATCCACAGGTACATGAAAAAATAAACCGTGGCCTGCAATTAAACACTACTCATCAATAGTAAGCAATGAACTATTACTACACACCAAAACATGCATGAATCAGGTGACAGAGTAGTCAAGCAAGTGGATTTCCTCTACCAATTCATTTGCTCTCAGAAATTCTCATCTATAAAACGGTCACAAAGGGCCGGGCACAGCGGCTCACGCCTGTAATCCCAGCACTTTGCGAGGCCGAGGTGGGTGGATCATGAGGTCAGGAGCTCGAGATCAGCCTGGCCAACATGGTGAAACCCCGTCTCTACTAAAAATACAAAAATTAGCTGGGCCGCGGTGGTGCACACCTGTCATCCTAGCTACTCAGGAGGCTGAGGCAGGAGAATTGCTTGAACCTGGGAGGCAGAAGTTGCAGTGAGTTGAGATGGCGCCACTGCATTCCAGTCTGAATGACAGAGTGAGACTCTGTCTCAGAAGAAAAAAAAAAAAAAACCTGTGACAAAGGCGGCATCGAAATAGGAAGAGAAGAAATCAAACTATCCCTGTTTTCAGAAGACATGATTCTATATCTAGAAAACCTCATAGTCTCTCCCCAAAAACTTCTTGAGCTGATAAGCAACTTCAGCAAAGTTTTAAGGTACAAAATCAGTGTACAAAAATCAGTAGCACTCCTATACACTAATAGCACTCAAGCTGAGAGCCAAATCAGGAACACAATCCCATTCAGAATTGCTACAAAAAGAATACAATACCTAGGAATACAGCTAACCAGGGAGGTGAAAGATCTCTACAATAAGAATTACAAAACGGCTGCTCAAAAAAATCAGAGATGATACAAACAAATGGAAAAATATTCCATGCTCATAGATAGAAAGAATCAATATCATTAAAATGCCTATATAAAATGCTATAATGCCCAAAGCAATTTATAGATTTAGTGCTATTCCTATCAAACTACCCTGACATTGTTCACATAAGTAGGAAAAGACTATTCCAAAATGTATATGGAACCAAAAAAGGGCCCAAATAACCAAGGCAATCCTAAGCAAGAACACAGCTGGAGGAATCACATTGCCCAACTTCAAACAGTACTATAAGGCTACAGTAATCAAAACAGCATGGTAGTGGCACAAAAACAGACAAATACACCAATGGAACAGAATAGTGAGCCTAGAAATAAAGGCACACACCTACAACCATCTGATCTTTGACAAAGCTGACAAAAACAAGCAACGGGAAAAGGACTCCCTATTCAACAAATGGTGCTGGGATAACTGGCTAGCAATACGTGGAAGATTGAAACTGGACCCCTTCCTTACGCCATACACAAAAATCAACTCAAGATGGATTAAAGACCTAAATATAAAACCTAAAACTATAAAAACCCTGGAAGATAACCTAGGAAATACCATTTTGGACATAGAAACTGGCAAAGATTTCATGACGAACATGCCAAAAGCAATTGCAACAAAAGCAAAAATTGACAAATGAGACCTAACTAAAGAGCTTCTGCAAAGCAAAAGAAACTATCAACAGAGTAAACAAAAAACCTACAGATTGGGAGAAAATATTCACAAACTATACATCTAATAAAGGTCTAATATCCAGAATCTACAAGGAACTTTAAACCTACAAGCAAACAAGAACCCCAGTAAAAAGTGGGCAAAGGAAATGAACAGATATTTTTCAAAAGAAGACATACTTGCAGCCAATAAGCATTTGAAAAAATGCTCAATATCACTAACCATTAGAGAAATGCAAATCAAAACCACAACATTATACCATCTCGCACGAGTCTGAATGGCTATTATTTAAAAAGTCAAAATATAACAGATGCTGGCAAGGTTGTAGAGAAAAGAGAATGAATGCTTATATACTGCTGGTGGGAGGAGGGAGAAGTTCATTAAGAAAAAGAAAAAAGAAAAAAAAGAAAACTGTTGTAGTCCCAGCTACTTGGGAGGCTGAGGCAGGAGAATCACTTCAACCCGGGAGGCAGACGTTGCAGTGAGCTGAGATTGCACCACCGCACTCCAGCCTGGGGGACAGAGTGAGACTCTGTCTAAAAAAAACAAAACAAACAAAAAAACTGTTGAGTACTATGCTTAGTACCCTGGTGACAAAATAATTTGTACCCGAGATCCCCAAGTCACAAGTTTACCTATATAACAAACCTGCATGTGTACCCTGAACCTAAAAATTAAAATATTCTAATAAACTGTCACAAAGAAAAATATTTTTCTATTGCTGCCGAAAAAATAAAGAAAAACTTAAAATTTTTATATTCAAAATTCACAAAACTAAGTGTAAAGGAGTATAAATAATTTCCAAAATTTTTCTGGTAAATTTATCACATTTATTCTTCAGAAGTTATTAAAACATTCAGAAGTATTAAAACTGCACTAAGTCTTTTGGGACACACACACATATTTCCTAGCTCTGTCGACCAAGAAGGTCCAGGAGCAGTAACACTCCAAAAGCAATGCAAGCACCCAGCAGCCAGATTTTGGTTTCTAAATATCATTCTCCATTAAAAAGAACCAGGACTCTGGAGAAATAGATGATTTCAGAGAGTAGATGATGAGTGGACATGAAAATTCTGATTAGCCACAAACATTTTGTGCCAAAAAGAAAGGGAGTGCTGAAAGAACTGGGAAATATCTCACACAGACACACACAAACCCTTAAAGGGGCTCCCAGTGATGTGTTTAAATTAATAATGAATTATAACCCATAGAATAAAATAGAAAACCATGAATCAACAATAGTAAATACAAGAATGAATAATTAGAACAGTTTAGAGATATTTACATAGTTACAAATAGCTGCCAATAAAATATTTATTTATCACAAAGAGAAAAAGAACATTACAGATGGAGAATCCTGGCAGATACCATGGTAATCCAAGTAAATGTCATGGTAATGGAGCAAACTGGAATCTTGCACCAGCTGATAAAACATACCGAGAACACAGCATCACCTTGTGATACTCCTGCCAATGATGCAAAATGTGAATGTAAACATGAGGAAATATCAGATAAACACAAATTGAGGAACATTCTACAAAATAACTGGCCTATAATCTTCAAAAGTATCAAGTTCACAAAAATCAATAAAAGACCCTGTAGCTGTTCCAGATTGAAGGAGATGAAAAAGACATGCATCGCTGGGCATGTGGCTCACACCTGTAATCCCAGCGCTTTGGGAGGCCGAGGCAGGGGGATCACTTGAGGTCAGGAGCTTGAGACCAGCCTGGCCAACATGGCGAAACCCCATCTCTACTGAAAATACAAAAATTAACCAGGTGTGGTGGCACACACCTGTAATCCCAGCTGCTCAGGATGCTGAGGCAGGAGACTCACTTGAACCCGGGAGGTAGAGATTGCAGTGAGCCGAGATCACGCCATTGCACTCCAGCCTGGGTGACAAAGTGGGACTCCATCTCAAAAAAAAGAAAAGGAAAGAAAGCCGGGCGCAGTGGCTCATGCCTATAATCCCAGCACTTTGGGAGGCTGAGGCGGGCAGATCACAAGGTCAGGAGATTGAGACCATCCTGGCTACTATGAAACCTCATCTCTACTAAAAATACAAAAAATTAGCCAGGCGTGGTGGCAGGCACCTGTAATCCCAGCTACTTGGGAGGCTGAGGCAGGAGAATGGCGGGAACCCAGGAGTCGGAGCTTGCAGTGAGCCAAGATCGTGCCGCTGCACTCCAGCCTGGGCGACAGAGTGAGACTCTGTCTCAAAAAAAAGAAAAAAAAAAAAGAAAAAAAAAAGAAAAGAAAGAGAGAAAGGCATGCAAAAGACTAATGCAACACACAATTCTGAATTAGATCCTTTTGCTCTAAGTGACTTCATTGAGACAAGTGGCAAGATGTGAACGGGAACTGAAATGTCAATGGTGGTACTATATCAAAGCTATTTCCATTTCTATGCCCTTGATTGTAGGAAATACACACTAAAGTATTTGCAGATGATGAGTATCCTATAGCGGTTTGTTGGTACTGGGCTTGCAACTTTTTTTAAGTTTGAGGATATTTCAAAATAAAAGTGAGAAGAAAATTTACTAAATAAGTGAAATAGCTATGAATTTTTTGAAAGAGGATTGGCATAAGTAATTTCTTCTTACAGATATTTAAAAAGTATATTATGCAGCTACAATTCTTGAAACAGTGTGGTAATTGTGCAAGAATCAACAGTCATATCAGGAGAATAAAACAAATCTTCGTTCATAAGAACTTAATATAGTTATGTAGGAACAACTGAAATTGCCAACAAACAGGGAGTGATTTGTAAATTGTAGCACATTCATATATTTGAATATTTTACCACAAACATATTTTTAAACATTCTAAAAGGCATGCATGTGATATAACGTTAAGTGAAAGAAGAGTATGAATGAGCTGTAGGCCCATGATGGGTTCTTGGGGTGCTGGGTTGACTTCAGTGGTAGCTATTGGTCATTCACTTTGTTTCATAAATATGATTTATGTATTTGCCTGATGTAGTTACAGTAAAAGATTTTAAAAGGACCTGTAAGACCCTCTATCCTACTAGACTATATTCTTGAGATTGAGCTGATAATTAGATTAAATTCCATCAGCCTGTTATACAGATTAGGAATCAAATTCCGAAAGGGCTAGATCATTGCTCTCCGGGAGCTGATATCTAATGAGACCAGGATGGGAATTCATCCCCGCTCTTGCCATAGCACTACCCTGGGTCTTCTGGCATTGACGATGGGAGAGCTGCCAGTCATCACAGCGGTTACTGTGACTGTGTGTTAGTGTGCTGAGGATGCCACATGTTTCACTCATGCAGCCCTTACGACTGCCTTGCAAAGGTGGTGTTATGACCCCCAATTTATAGAGAAGGAAAGGGGGTACATAGCTGGCAAAGAATAAAGCTGCAATTCGGACCCATTAACTCATTCATTAAATCAACCCAAACTCATTCGCAGCTGTATATCAGACACTGGAAAGATTCTGGAGATAGAAACAGACGTGACACAATTTCTTCCCTCCAGGAACTGCCCATCCCGATGAACCCCCAACTTGGGCCACTCCATCTGTGCCTATCATTGCTCTTCAGTAGGAGAGCCTAGGTTCGGTGAAAGAGGGGATGGTTAATAGGTACAAAAACTAGTTAGAAAGAATAAAAAAGATACAGTATTTTCTAGCAAAACAGGGTGACTGTAGTAAAAAAATAATTGAATTGTTCATTTAAGAATAACTAAGAGTATAACTGGATTATTCAAAACACAAAGGATAAATGCTTGAGGGAATGAATACCCTATATATCCTGATGTGAGTATTACACACTGCATGCCTATATCAAAATATCTCATGTAATCCATAAATATATACACCTACTATGTACCCACAAAAAGTTAAACATTAAAAAAATTTTAATAAAACAATAGTAGAGCTTATCTGCTACTGTTTACCTATGGTCCAAAGTCAGATACTTCTCCCAGTGGCAACCGAGTTACCTCCTCTCAAAATTCCCCTCCCATAGAGTTAACAAATGAATAAACAAATAAAAACCCCAGCACCCATGATGCAGTTATCCCACCTGAGTTGAGCTCAAGATTTTCTTTTTCCCCTTTGCTGACTTTTTTGGTAAAGCGAAAAAAAAAAAAAAAAAACACAACTTTCTTTTACATTTGAATACTGTATACAGGGAATGGGCCCAGGAAACCTAAACGGAGACAAGCAACTCAAAAATAAAAGACATTCTTCCTATGATATCATATTTCCTACTTGTTCAGGGCCTTCCTTGGAGGCTCCTAATGTACAACGTAAATGTTAACTCATTCTTCCTTCTGGTATCCTTGGGAGGCAGGAAGCCGATGTTATTTCATAGATAAAAAAGCTGCAGTCCCGGAGGTTGAATCCCTTCCCCCGGGGTCACATAACTACAGGCAGTGTGAAGGGCTGGGAATGGAACTTGGGGTTAGGACTCCCTGCCTGTGGTCCCCTGGCTCTCAAGTGGGGCCTCCTTCCTAAGAGATAACTTTTATGTTGAAACTCTGTTGGAATCCGGTTCTATAAAAGGAATGCTATGGAACTGCTGAGACAAAATATGCATTTTTCTTCCCCTGCACATTAATACAGGGTACATCTTCAAGAGGCGACCTAGCACATGTAAGCACTGTCTATAATACTTCCACATTTATCCAGTGTGGGGACTAATATTTAGCCCGAATGACCCAGTCCATGACAATTCTGTTCTGTTGGGAGAGGACAGAAACAAGGGACCGAACTCTAGACATCATGATCTCTGCCAGTTTAAGCATCTGCATTTCCAAAAGGAATGAGCTAGGTCTGAGGTTGAGGAGCGCCTCGTACAAATGTGTTACTCTTTGGGAGGTATCATAGCACTCTGTTAAGCAATGTGCTGGTGTCCTCGCTCTACGGTCATAAGGATGACACAGCCAAAGCCTTTTTCACAGTAGGCAAAGTGGAAACAGGGAGACGAGCTGATTTTTCATGTAAGCCAGATGAAGTTCTAAGAATACCTGTTTTATGGCCAGGCACGGTGGCTCACGTCTGTAATCCCAGTACTTTGGGAGGCCGAGGTGGGCGGATCACCTGAGATCAAGAGTTTGCAACTAGCCTGGCCAACATGGTAAAACTTCACCTCTACTAAAAATACAAAAATTAGCCAGGTGTGGTGGCGGGTGCCTGTAGTCTCAGCTACTTGGGAGGCTGAGGCAGGAGAATTGCTTGAACCCGGGAGGTGGAGGTTGCAGTGAGTTGAGACTGCGCCACTGCACTCATGCCTGGATGACAGAGCAAGACTCCATCTCAAAAAAAAAAAAAAAGAAAAGAAAAGAAAAGAAAAAAGGAATGCCTTTTTTTAAATTTCAAGTCCATCCAACCAATTTCCCAACATCTTCTTGTGTAGATTTTTAGATACTAATGGAAATACTAGGCACAGCCTGAGCATTTGACAATATTCATCATTCAACATTTACATTTCAACAAATAACTTTCAAGATTTTTCTTTCAACTACCATGTGTTGGGCACTATTCCAGGCACTGGGGCCACAGCAATGAATGAAACAGACTCTATCCCATTGGGGTTGACATCCATCAGGACTCAAATTGGTGTGACTGATAAGGAAGGAAGAAAAATCTAGCCTTTGGAGACATCACCTTTCCTTGGAAAAGAATGGCTTCAAAATCTTATTCCACATCCTCTGAAACACCTTCAATTAAATGTCCATGTAACTAACCGGGCTAAGATTAAGCATGCCAGGGTCTCAGGTGGGTCCCTAAAATGCCAAGTGTCCCTATATAGGTTAGAGCAGAGCAAACCCTAAACTGAGAGCAAGGTGGGTTTTATGGACTTTCCTTTCCCATCTATGTCCTTGGAATGAAATGAAAAAAAAAAATAATAATAAGCCAAAGCTCCAGAGGGCTGGGAGAGGGAATATGTGTAGATATCATAAACACAAAGCCAGGTTTCCCTGAGATGTTGTCAACAAATGCCTCTTTCCCATAGGAAGTGAAGTCTCTGGGGACGTGGTGGAAATATGGACAGTGGAAGAGTGGAACAAAGTTCTTGGGGTGGAGGGGAGTCTTCCTGCTGAAGGGAAGACTCACAGCTGGGCCCTCTCAAGAGAATGTAAATTCACAAACTGTGCACACTAGACCAGCTTTCATCCCTGACATACTTGTCTGATATCTCATCAGTATCTGCCCAGGGAATGTGAAAAGCTGGTAGAACGAGATACATGGGAAAGTTTACAAAGACTCCCGGCCTACAGGCCACTGTGTGTCTTCAGTGTGCTGGTTCCACATTTTTGCAAGCTGCACAGGGGACTTAAAATCCTATTGAAAAGTTCCTGGAGAAATAGTTTCTCATCCTGGAGGAAGAATCTCACAGGATTTTCGTCTTAGTGGGATATTATGATGGACTATTGAAAAATGAATAGAGGCCGGGCACAGTGGCTCATGCCTGTAATCCCAGCATTTTGGGAGGCCAAGATGGGAAGACCACCTGAGTTCAGGAGTTCGAGACCAGCCTGGCCAATATGGCGAAACCCCGTCTCTACTAAAAATACAAAAAAAATCAGCTGGGCGAGGTGGTGAGTGCTTCTAATCTCAGCTACTCAGGAGGCTGAGACAGGAGAATTTGGCTTGAACCTGGGAGGTGGAGGTTTGCAGTGAGCCGAGATCATGCCGTTGCACTCCAGCCTAGATGACAAGAGCGGAACTCTGTCTCAAAAAAGGAAAAAAGGCCGGGCGCAGTGGCTCACGCCTGTAATCCCAGCACTTTGGGAGGCCGAGGCGGGCGGATCACAAGGTCAGGAGATCGAGACCATCCTGGCTAACACGGTGAAACCCCGTCTCTACTAAAAATACAAAAAAATTAGCCGGGCGTGGTGGCAGGCTCCTGTAGTCCCAGCTACTCGGGAGGCTGAGGCAGGAGAACGGCATGAACCCGGGAGGCAGAGCTTACAGTGAGCCTTGATCGTGCCACTGCACTTCAGCCTGGGTGAGAGAGTGAGACTCTGTCTTTAAAAAAGAAAGAAAGAAAGAAAGAAAAATGAATAGAAAGTATAGAAGACGTTTGGCTATTGTTATGTTTACTATGAAAGCACTGCATGAAAAGGGTTAAGATTGCTCTGAACCATAAATAAAATTTCAGCCCTTTTTTAGCATCAGGAAAAAGTCCAACTGGTTCATTCATAGCAAAAGCCCACAGGTATCACAATGAGAGCGTTTCTCCCACCACGTGGTTTTTCACGTGCACACAGCATTTACTGATCTTTCCGTCTGTGTTCTCGTTGTAGAGGTATCACGTGATCAGCATTGCACTAACTTCTACCCCTAAGTAAAGTACTTGGTAGAAGAATATCTGTTTTTTCCTTACATTTTCCATTACTGACTTTGTTCCATTTAAAAATACATTATAACTTAATGCTGGTGACCCCACATGACTCATGATAACGTTTAAAAATATGTTTTTCAAGACTGCATGAATAAATATGAACACTGGGCTAGGCAGGGTGGTGCACGCCTGTAATCCCAGCACTTTGGGAGGCCAGGCTGGGTGGATCACCTGAGGTCAGGAGTTCGAGACCAGCCTGACCAATATGGTGAAACCCCGTCTTTACTAAAAGTACAAAAATTAGCCCGGTGTGGTAGTGCACGCCTGTAATCCCAGCTACTCAGGAGGCTGAGGCAGAAGAATCGCTTGAAACCTAAAGGTGGAAGTTTCAGTGAGCAGAGATTGCACCACTGCACTCCAGCCTGTGCAACAAGAGTGAAACTCCTTCTAAAATAAATAAATAAAAATAAATACATAAATATGAACACTATTAGTAAATTATGAATTTACAAATAAACTTGATACTAGGACCTTGGAAAATACTTTGATTGGAATACAGATCCATTTTTCTTCAAAACAATTTTCACTTCGACTTCAGATAGAAGGGACATAAAACCAAATCCCCACTCTGAAAATTCAAGGGGAACTCTTTTCTAGTAACATGAGGCATGAGTGGCGATGGTTTACAGGATTCATTTGTTTCACACAAATTCAGGGGTGGGACTCAGCTATTGTTTTTCTAACTCATTCCCATGAATTCTAAATTGTCAACACCTAAGGTTAATGACACCTGTCTTTTTGCTGTCATGAACAGTTAGCGCGGTTTAGCAAGAGATAAATCATCTTCACACAGAGGGTTGTGCTATTATTCTCAGCAAACAAAGGACAAAGCTTATTTCTATATAATGTTAAACATCGTTATAAGGGAATAAGCTTATTTTTTCTTTCATGCTCTAATGAAATTATCAGCCTACAACACATTTCTTTCTTGATTTGGAACATCTATTCTTCAAAAGTTTGTGGAGTAATCACAGAGAGTTTCCATACATAATGGATCATTCTCACCTCAAAATATGCACTGATTTTTAAGGAATGTACAGAAGGAAAAGTCAACCATCCTTTTGATTATTGGATAACCAGATCAGCCTTGATCTGAAAAATACTCCACTCAATTGAGGAAGATACTTTTAGCTACTAAATAAAATACACAGTGATAACGTAGGGAGGAGGCATGGAATAACAACTTTACCAAGAATAGCCAAGAGATTCATCTTACAATGACTATGAGCAAAAAGTTTTCACAAAAAAAACTTATTAAAGAAAATAAAACAAAAAATTAAAAACAATAATGAATAAATAAATATGAGCACTAGGTATCAGTAATGACTGGTACTGAGCAAGCACTCAAATATTTGCTGAATGAACGAATGAATGAATGAATGAATCAATATGTCCTGTACCTATCAACATACAACTTCAGCTTTTTGGAGGTTTATTTAGCACTAAAAATGCTCTTGTCATGTATTTATTTTGTGTGTTCAAACTCAAAAGTGTAGGCTTTGAGGTATAGACTATAGCAATGTTATATTATAGCTATAAATGTTCTACTCGGCATTTGCAAAAATGCAGTTCTTTGAGGAAATAACTAAGCTTAACATTTAACAATAAAAGAAGATATACTTCTGGGGCAACTTTTAAAAATACACCAATTCAAGGTACCATCATTTTCTCTCCATCTTTTTACTCCTATCAATCACAGCTTAATCTTGCTGTGCTCTCCAGGTCTTCACTCAAAATCTTCTCTCCACTTCAATCCTCTCTTAAAGTCAACTCTCTCCTTGTTTTAGTATCAGACTTTAGGCAAAGCTGGCTTCAAAACATCTTGCAGCTTTTTCCAGCAACAAATTCTGATAACTTGACTCTGACAAGAGCTCTTTCCTGTGGCAGCTTCTCTTAGTCTGTTGCTAAATCTATTCTGCCCAGAGGTGCGGCTTCCTTTGTTCAGGTCTCTTTTCTCCTTTCCACAGGACAAAACGAATAGAGAAATTCAGAATGATCTGCCCTCTGAATGTAATACCTATCTCTTTTCTCTATTTTGTGACTTCCAACCTCCCATTATCCAATGGATAGTTTATCTCCAATAAGATGGATATTGTACAGGGATGGGATTCCTCAGGCCTCTTTTCCTACTCCTCTCCTCTATTTTTTGTTTTTTTGTTTGTTTGTTTGTTTTTGGAGAGTGAGTTTAGCTCTATTGCCCAGGCTGGAGTGCAGTGGCACGGTCTCAGTTCACTGCAACCTCTCCCAGGTTCAAGCAATTCTCATGCCTCAGCCTCCCAAGTAGCTGGGATTACAGGTGCACGCCACCATGCCCAGCTAATTTTTCTATTTTTAATAGAGACGGGGTTTCACCATGTTGGCCAGGATGGTCTCGAACTCCTGACCTCAGGTGATCTGCCTGCCTTGGCCTCCCAAAGTGCTGAGATTACAGGTGTGAGCTACCACGCCCAGCCTTACTCCTCTATTTTTCTAACCCATTCCTTCCTCCCCCAGCCCACCACAAGAGATGAGGAATGACTAAGTTTATTGATGAGAGTACAGGAAATTCACTAAGTCACATCTGCCAGTGAACAGACGTCCTCCTCTCTTCAACCTCCTCCTGCAGACTATGCAGAAGCTATCTTCTCAAAGCAATCCTCTCTCTCTTTTTTTCACCCCTTCCACACCTATAAGGGCATGCTCAAGCAGGTCAGGAC
This sequence comes from Homo sapiens, assembly GCF_000001405.40. Classification (NCBI taxonomy): domain Eukaryota; kingdom Metazoa; phylum Chordata; class Mammalia; order Primates; family Hominidae; genus Homo; species Homo sapiens. The sequence goes on from NC_000010.11 coordinate 13,022,303, forward strand.
CCGATCTGAGAATCCAGATTTTTCTCTGTCTTGCTCCCTCCTTAAAGTTATACTAGAGTGTGTTGGTGCCAAAATTTTGATTCAGGGTGAAAAGCAGGAAGTCCATCTTAGATCAGGAGCCTAAATCACATGCTTCAACTCAGCATTTACCAGAAAGCCCACCATCAGCTGATCCTAGGACCTGCTCAGCTATAAATGCAGTGGTATTAGGTTGGTGCAAAAATAATTGCGGTTTTTGCCATTACTTTTAATGGCCAAAAGTAATGGCCATTTTTAATTTAAAGTAATGGCAAAAACTGCAATTTCTTTTGCCCCAACCTAATGCAAGGGGACCCTCAATCTGAGCATCCATTATCAGAGTTGTTAACAGAAGCAAAATCATGATGTGAAACTGTTTTTTAAAAACTGACCATTTATCAAATTAATTCCCAACCAAATGTCCCTCCTTTCAAGATATTAGTATCTATGTATCTCACCAATATTATAGCAGATAATAAATTCAAGTAGAGTGGAAGTCTACTGTGAAAGAAATTATAAATATTGCAAGAGATGCAGAATTTTACAAAGTTGATGAAAGTGATATTGCAGAACTGCTTGAAATATAGGCCAAGCCATTAATAAATGAAGATATAGCACAAGTTGACCAGTTTAAAATCAAAGAGAAAGTCAACAAGGAAGATGACATAAAAAATACTTGAAAAGAAAGAGAGTCAAATAGAAAAAGATTAACAAACTACTGGGGAAAAATTAAATAAAATCCTTGAGTTGTGTTTTTTTTTGCACACTTTTTTTTTGCACAAAACAGCCCTTTTCATGATTGTACAGCAAAAGGAAAGTGTAAAATAAAAGATATTTAACGCTGCTATTGTACAATTTTATCTAAAAATTATTAGCCTCCTGTTTGACTTATCTACTGCTGCATAAAAACCACCTATACATTTCATGATTTAAAACAATAACAATGTAACGTTGCTCACAATTCTGTTGGTTGATTAGGTAGTTTTTTCTGTTTCACTTGTAGTCTGGATGCTGGAATGACAAGAAGGTCCAAAATGGCTTTATTCACATGGCTGAAAGTTGGTGCTGGCCATTGACTGGGGGCTTAGCTGGAAGGTTTTCTGGGGTTTCAGTTCTCCTACCCAAAGTTGCTCAGGGTTCCTCCTAGCTTAGTGGCTAGGTTTCAAGAAGACCTGTTCTAAGAGAAGATGCCCCAGTGTGCAAGTATTTATCAAGTCTCCAGTCACACCACTCTTGCTAACGTCCCGTTGTCTAAAGCTAGTCACGTGGCCAAGCTGAGAGTCAATGATGGAGGGAACTACACAAAGCTCTGAATCCCAGGAAATAAGATTCATTCAGGGCCACCAGAGCACTCTCTGGTCTCTAATGGGCCATGTCCTTACTACATGAAAAATATAATTATCCCCTCCAAAGCATCCAAGGTCTTGTCTCATTATGATATCATGTACAGAATCTCATCATCCAAATCAATCCAGGTGCAGAAGGGGTCTCTTGGGTGCAACGCCTCTTTATCTGAAGATGTGTGAACTAAAGAGGTGTGTTTTCTGGCCTACACACACCCAATATACAACGATAAGGCAAGCATAGGAAACCTGCAATAGACATTCCTACTCAAAAAGGTTGAAAATGGGTGGTACACAGAAGTTACTGGTCCATAGCAATTTTGAAATCCAGTAAGGTACATGTAGCTAGTTTACTGATGATGGCTCAGTTCTACTCCCTGGAACTGATTCTCTGTGCCTCTTACCTCTGCCCTCTGTGCTTTAGGCTCTGTTCTCTGAGATATCCTTCTTTTTCCAAGAGAAATGACCCAAAAGAAATGAGTTTCTTTTCTGGCTTACTTCCTCCCCATAGAAGTTTGGCGGTCTTGAGGCATCTTTTCATTTTGAGCTATCTCTTTCCTTAGTTTTTTTTTTCAGTCCAGGCTGATATAATTTTATTAAAATTTGTATAGTTTTATATGCATCAAACTGTAATCTCCATTAGAGAAAAGTGCACTAACAGATCTCTTCAAGGCAGTCCTCTCTCTGAAGAACTGGTGTTTGCAGCCTCTCTCTGGCTGCATGTCAGGATGCTACGGGAAAATACTTTTAAGATTCTTAGTATATTTTGCCTAGCTGAGAGAAACTCTGAGAATTCTTTAAATATGTCTAATGTGTTAATAGAGATCTTGACCCTAAAGCCATATTTCACTCCCAGCACCCTGCATTGCATCTTGAAACCAAGGCCATTTCTTACTTTGAAAATTCTTTCTTGGAAAGACTAGGAATGAAAAACAATTGTGTTATCAAACACAGCAAATTATAGCTCCTTTTTAGTTCTTCTAAATTTTACTTGAAATCTGAACAGGTCCTTCTCTAGCTTAACTTGTACCTTCTGTTCTCCGTCATAGGCAACTAAAAAGAAGCCAGATTGCGCATTCCATATTTTCTGCCTGAAAATCTCCTTAGCCAGGTCCACAAGTTTATTAGGTATGTTTTCTATTTCCCATATTACCAAGGCAACCGTTCTGTTACTTGTTCTGCCAATACATAACTTGGGTTCTCTTTCCTCCGGCTTCCCATAGGAATCTCCTCATTGCCCTTCTAGCCCCCACTAACAGTCTCCTTCCCATTCTTCCATATTTCTTCATTCCTTCTGCCAGACTCAAAGCCTGTGTTATTACAGGACCTCACTTTCAGGTAACAATTTATATTTTAGTTATCTATTGCTGCATAACAAACCATCCCCAAATTTGATGGTTTATAATAATTTCTTATTACTTCTTCCAATTCTGTGGGTTGACCAGGGGGTTATTACACTTCACATATTGTTGACTTGGAGTTGGACTGTCTAAAGGGTCTGCCATGGCCTCATTTATATGGCTGTAAATTGGTACTGGATGCTGGTTGGAGGTTCAACTGGAATTGGCGAAGGGGCTTCAGTTCTTCTCCATGTGGTTGCTTAGGGTTTCTCATAACATGGCAGATTGGTTCCAAGAAAAAGCATTCCAAGAAGGCAAGCCTTAAAGTGCAGGGACCTATCAAGCCTTCCCTTGCATCAGTCTTCCTAAAGTTGCATTGGCCAAAGCTCATCAGGTAGCCAAACACAGAATTAACATATGAGGGGGCTCATAAGGGAACAAGCACTAAGGAGTAGTTTAGTGAGAGCCACCAAATTCTATCACAGCCTTCATTTGGTTGAACAAATGACTTAGGGCGCAATTGTCATTATAAAAGAATCTTGTTAAATATAACGTCAAAAAATCACTTTTATAAATTTTCATTTTATTTTAAGAAACTACCATCGAACCTGTTTTATGTTGTCTACGGTGACATTTTGGTCCTCACTTTCAGTGGATTCCAGTTGAGTGGCCTTTTCCTACTATCAATTATCCTCAGATATAAAGAGGTCTTCTTGTATTTTGTTTTTCACTTAGCTTTTGTAACTTGAGTCTCACTCTCAGATCAAGAACACTTTGCAGAAAAGGAGTAAGACACAAAACAGTCTTTAGACGTTGCTGGTCCCTGGAAATAAGAGCATCATAATAGCACCAAATATCATCCCTCTTCCTGACAAATATCTTTTTTAAAAAACTCACCCGGGCATGGTGGCTCACGCCTGTAATCCCAGCACTTTGGGAGCCTGAGGTCGGAGGATCACTTGAGGCCAGGAGTTCAAGACCAGCCTGGCCAACATAGCAAAACTCCATCTCTACAAAAAATATAAAAATTAGCTGGGCTTGGTGGCGTGTGCCTGTAATCCCAGCTACTCAGGAGGCTGAGGCACGAGAATTGCTTGAACCCGAGAGGCAGAGGTTGCAGTGAGCCGAGATCACACACTGTACTCCAGCCTGTGTGACAAAATGAGACTCTGTCTCAAAAATAAATAAAAATAAATAATTTAAAAAATAAAAAACTTCACTATTTAAGAAGAATTAAAGGGTCACTCTCCCACCCACTTTATAACTAGGCGCTGATAATTAGGTGTGGCCTGAAATTATATACAATAGTACTTTCCTCATCATACCTTAATAACCTACAGCTTTTACAAACTGCTTTAGTGGGAGGATACTACAGAAATTAATTCTAAAAGGCCTATAGTCTTTACATAGAACATTTTGAACAAAGGTGTAGTTTTTAAATGGGAGTTTAATTTTGTTTCTTGGCTTCATTTTTTTTTCTTAAGCTTTAAGTGAAAGTTTGAAGAATATGAGTGCTTCATGTTTTATAACACTGCACGGTCTGCACTTAGCATTCAATACCTGGGATATATCTTTTTCACATAGCAATAGAAAAGGCTTGAAATGACTGAATTCACTAAAATTTAGGAAACACTCCACATTCTCAACTAATCCTTGATGAAACTACAGGTAATTGTTTTTTAAAGAGATTTAAAATCCAGCCAAAAAGCATACATGCTAACCATTTCGTTTTTCTCCCTAGAGATTCTCAGTTTAATCTCATAATAGTCAACATCATAAGCTTTTCTTTCCCACTCCAGCATGAATATAACAAGTACTGTAAGTAAAACTCTGTCATCAAAATGCTTCCATGGAGCCAGTGATCTTAACAGAGCTGCCTGGGCCGCCCCCGAGGGTGTTGTTACCTCTTCTTCCATTTCCTCCTCCTGAACAGATCCGTCATTTTACCAGATCTGAAATTTCCTTTCCTTTCACATATCTTCATAAGCAATTAAGCAAAGGATACCCAACCCTTGTGGTTTTGTCACTGTGCCTTAGTTCCCATGGCAATCTTGGTACTTTGTAAAGGACCTGTCAACCTTGCTTTAGTATCTGTGTCTGTCAAACTTGAAAACAAAACCTCTGAAGAATAGGGAGTTGGTCTATGGGCAAGCTGGAGGGTGGAGCTCTCATCAGGGGTGAGCTTAGGTGAGGGTCAGTGTGTAGGTCCGTAGGGGAATCTTAGCAGCAATTCCTCCACTAACAGACGTTTCTCAGAACCCAAAGCACACCTCAGAGGGCATCCCCTCCACATCCAACTCTTTCAACAAACAGATGCTGTCTTATTTTAAAGAATCTAATGAGAAAGTGATTCAGTAACTCCCTTTAGAAATGGTTCCCATCTGTCATATTTATCAGGAATTTCTACACATCCCATAATAATATGAAGTCTTCCCCTGTCTCTTTCTCTCTGACGTCTCATTGCACTAAGACACTGATTAAGAGGCTAATCATTAACTTATTAATAGCTATCATTCACTGAGCAACCGCCATATGTCATATTATGTATCAACCATCCACGCCCAGGGCACAGTGGCTCATGCCTCTAATCACAGCACTTTTGGAGGCTGAGGCGGGAGGATTGCTTGAGCTTGGGAGTTTGAGGCTGCAGTGAGATGTGATCACACCACTGCACTGTAGCCTGGGTGATAGAGTGAGACTCCAATTCAAAAAAAATTAAAAAAAAAAAACAAAAAAAAACTACTCAGTACTTTCCGCACCTGAGCTCATTTAATCAATACGACCTTACAAGGTGACTACTATTAGCACCATTTTATGGATAATGAACTAAAACAATAGTTGAGAGAGGTTATATTAACTTTTCCAAGTTCTCATAGTTACACATGGAAAATGTCTGACCCAGAATATAGATCCCACATCCTATCTTCTCAATTAATGATGGAAACCAAGATTGATGCTCCTCTTAGGTGACATAATTCTGCAGTAGTGTGTTTGCCACAGTTTGGCCAGGACCCTCTGTTTACAACGACCAGGCTACTACAATATATAGTTTATTAATGTGAAAAAGCCAGAATGATATGGTTTGGCTGTGTCCTCACCCAAATCTCGTCTTGAATTACAGCTCCCATAATCCCCATGTGTCATGAGAGGGACCCAGTGGGAGGTAATTGAATCATGGGGGTGGGTTTTTCCCATACCGTTCTCATGATAGTGAGTACGTCTCATGAGATCTGATGGTTTTATAAAGGGCAGTTCCCCTGCACACACACTCCTGCCTGCCACCATGTAAGATGTGCCCTTGCTCCTCCTTCACCTTCTGACATGATTGTGAGGCCTCCCCCAGCCACGTGGGAACTGTGAGTCCATTAAACCTCTTTTTCTTTATAAATCACCCAATCTTGGGTATGTATTTATTAGCAGCATGAGAACAGACTAATACACACAACCCATAACAGAATTTAGAAGAGGAGTGAACCAGACCACCCAGACAGCTGAACAACTCATTGGGATTTTGAGTTAATTTTTTTCCTAATGTGAGAACTACTCAATTCTCATCTCATAGAGCACCCACAGATGACAGGGTTGAACAAAACATTTAGGGATTTAAATGGATTGTCCCATCACATCAGAAAAATGGTATTGGAGTGAATTTGTGGACTCTTTCTAGTCCCTTTGCCCCACACGCCAAACAACTGGTTTGGGGTGGAATCCTAGGAAGATGAATTGATGAGATAGAAATATGAATATTTAGGAAATAGCAGGATTGTAGTGGCACATGCAAAGGGTTCCATCTCTCTCTCTAATAGTCAAATCCACCAAAACCAAGCTTCTGCCTCTTGAGAAGTAAGGAATTATTCTGGACATTGCTAGACTGGAACTGACCTGAGGACAGGAAGCACAGTGCTTCCCTCCCTGCCACACCATAGCACCTGCAAAATGACATCCATAATTCCAGCTGCCAGCAGATGCTTATTTGATCAGTGAATGACCTGACAGTGTGTGAAAATTCCCTCTGACTGAGTAGCCTGTTCGGCCACTAAACAGGGTGTGCAGGTGTGTAACTGGGTGCAGGAGAGAGTGACAGGATGCCAGCCTTGGCAATGTGCTCCTGCTGTGTCCTTTCTGATTCCACTGCCCACTCTACGGTTTTCACCTCTAAACCCCAAATCCCCAGTCATAAGGAAAGCTGTTTTGATACTGCCTCAGGAAGCTGTCTCATCTTGTCCTGTTGGCTTAAAAACAGGTCTGGGGCTCTGCAGCTGACGGTCCTGACTGTTAGAAGGAAAACTAACAAATAGAAAGGACATGCACACCAAAACCTCATCTGTACGTCACCATGATCAAAGACCAAAGGTAGATAAAACCACAAAGATGGGGAGAAACCAGAGCAGAAAAGCTGAAAATTCTAAAAACCGGAACGCCTCTTCTCCTCCAAAGGAATGCAGCTCATCGCCAACAATGGAACAAAGCTGGACAGAGAATGACTTTGACAAGTTGAGAGAAGAAGGCTTCAGACGATCGGTAATAATAAACTTCTCCAAGCTAAAGGAGGATGTCCGAACCCATCGCAAAGAAGCTAAAAACCATGAAGAAAGATTAGACGAATGGTTAACTAGAACAAACAGCATAGAGAAGACCCTAAATGACCTGACGGAGCTGAAAATCATGGTACGAGAACTACATGACGCATGCACAAGCTTCAGCAGCCGATTTGATCAAGTGGAAGAAAGGGTATCAGTGATTGAAGATCAAATGAATCAAACGAAGCGAGAAGAGAAGTTTAGAGAAAAAAGAGTAAAAAGAAATCAACAAAGCCTCCAAGAAATATGGGACTAGGTGAAAAGACCAAATCTAGGTCTGATTGGTATACCTGAAAGTGACGGGGAGAATGGAACCAAGTTGGAAAACACTCTGCAGGATATTATCCAGGAGAACTTCCCCAACCTAGTAAGGCAGGCCAACATTCAAATTCAGGAAATACACAGAAAGCCACAAAGATACTCCTCGAGAAGAGCAACTCCAAGACACATAATTGTCAGATTCACCAAAGCTGAAATGAAGGAAAAAATATTAAGGGCAGCCAGAGAGAAAGGTTGGGTTATCCACAAAGGGAAACCCATCAGACTAACAGCAGATCTCTCAGCAGAAACTCTACAAGCCAGAAGAGAGTGGGAGCTAACATTCAACATTCTTAAAGAAAAGAATTTTCAACCCAGAATTTCATATCCAGTCAAACTAAGCTTCATAAGTGAAGGAGAAATAAAATCCCTTACAGACAAGCAAATGCTGAGAGATTTTGTTACCACCAGGCCTGCCTTACAAGAGCTCCTGAAGGAAACACTAAACATGGAAAGGAACAACCGGTACCACCCACTGCAAAAACATGCCAAATTGTAAAGACCATCAATGCTAGGAAGAAACTGCATCAACTAATGAGCAAAATAACCAGCTAACATCATAACGACAGGATAAAATTCACACATAACAATATTAACCTTAAATGTAAATAGGCTAAATGCTCCAATTAAAAGATACAGACTGGCAAACTGAATAAAGACTCAAGACCCATCAGTGTGCTGGATTCAGGAGACCCATCTCACATGCAGAGACACACATAGGCTCAAGATAAAGGGATGGAGGAAGATCTACCAAGCAAATGGAAAGCAGAAAAAAAAAGCAGAGGTTGCAATCCTAGTCTCTGATAAAAGAGACTTTAAACCAACAAAGATCAAAAGAAACAAAGAAGGCCATTAAATAATGGTAAAGGGATCAATTCAACAAGAAGAGCTAACTATCCTAAATATATATGCACCCAATACAGGAGCACCCAGATTCATAAAGCAAGTCCTTAGAGACCTACAAAGAGACTTAGACTCCCACACAATAATAATGGGAGACTTTAACACCCCACTGTCAACATTAGACAGATCAACAAGACAGAAAGTTAACACGGATATCCAGGAATTGAACACAGCTCTGCACCAAGCAGACCTAATAGACATCTACAGAACTCTCCACCCCAAATCAACAGAATATACATTCTTCTCAGCACCACATCACACTTATTCCAAAATTGACCACATAGTTGGAAACAGAGCACTCCTCAGCAAATGTAAAAGAACAGAAATTATAACAAACTGTCTCTCAGACCACAGTGCAATCAAACTAGAACTCAGGATTAAGAAGCTCACTCAAAACCACTCAACTACATGGAAACTGAACAACCTGCTCCTGAGTGACTACTGGGTAAATAACGAAATGAAGGCAGAAATAAAGATGTTCTTTGAAACCAACGAGAACATAGACACAACATACCAGAATCTCTGGGACACATTTAAAGCAGTGTGTAGAGGGAAATTTATTGCACTAAATGCCCACAAAAGAAAGCAGGAAAGATCTAAAATTGACACCCTAACATCACAATTAAAAGAACTAGAGAAGCAAGAGCAAATACATTCAAAAGCTAGCAGTAGGCAAGAAATAACTAAGATCAGAGCAGAACTGAAGGAGATAGAGACACAAAAAAACCTTCAAAAAATCAATAAATACAGGAGCTGGTTTTTTGAAAAAATCGACAAAATAGATAGACCATTAGCAAGACTAATAAAGAAGAGAGAAGAATCAAATAGATGCAACAAAAAATGATAAAGGGGGTATCACCACCAATCCCACAGAAATACAAACTACCATCAGAGAATACTATAAACACCTCTACACAAATAAACTAGAAAATCTAGAAGAAACAGATAAATTCCTGGACACATACACCCTCCCAAGACTAAACCAGGAAGAAGTTGAATCCCTGAATAGATCAATAACAGGCTCTGAAATTGGGGCAATAATTAATAGCCTACCAATGAAAAAAAGTCCAGGACCAGATGGATTCACAGCTAAATTCTACCAGAGGTACAAAGAGGAGCTGGTACCATTCCTTCTGAAACTATTCCAATCAATAGAAAAAGAGGGAATCTTCCCTAACTCATTTTATGAGGCCAGCATCATCCTGATACCAAAGCCGGGCAGAGACACAACCAAAAAAGAGAATTTTAGACCAATACCCCTGATGAACATTGACGCGAAAATCCTCAATAAAATACTGGCAAACCGAACCCAGCAGCACATCAAAAAGCTTATCCACCACAATCAAATTGGCTTCATCCCTGGGATGCAAGGCTGGTTGAAACATATGCAAATCAATAAACATAATCCGTCACATAAACAGAACCAAAGACAAAAACCACGATTATCTCAATACATGCAGAAAAGGCCTTCGACAAAATTCAACAGCCCTTCATGCTAAAAATTCTCAATAAACTAGGTATTGATGGGACGTATCTCAAAATAATAAGAGTTATTTATGACAAACCCACAGCCAGTATCATACTGAATGGGCAAAAACTGGAAGCATTCCCATTGAAAACTGGCATAAGACAGGGATGCCCTCTCTCACTACTCCTATTCAAAATAGTGTTGGAAGTTCTGGCCAGGGCAATCAGGCAGGAGAAAGAAATAAAGGGTATTCAATTAGGAAAAGAGGAAGTCAAATTGTCCCTGCTTGCAGATGACATGATTGTATATTTAGAAAACCCCATCATCTCAGCCCAAAATCTCCTTAAGCGGATAAGCAACTTCAGCAAAGTCTCAAGATGCAAGATCAATGTGCAAAAATCACAAGCATTCCTATACACCAATAACAGACAAACAGAGAGCCAAATCATGAGTCAACTCCCATTCACAATTGCTTCAAACAGAATAAAATACCTAGGAATCCAACTTACAAGGGATGTGAAGGACCTCTTCAAGAAGAACTACAAAACACTGCTGAACGAAATAAAAGAGGACACAAACAAAGGGAAGAACATTCCATGCTCGTGGATAGGAAGAATCAATATCGTGAACATGGCCATACTGCCCAAGGTAATTTATAGATTCAATGCCATCCCCATCAAGCTACCAATGACTTTCTTCACAGAATTGGAAAAAACTACTTTAAAGTTCATATGGAACCAAAAAAGAGCTGCATTGCCAAGTCAATCCTAAGCCAAAAGAACAAAGCTGGAGGCATCATGCTACCTGACTTCAAACTATACTACAAGGCTACAGTAACCAAAATAGCATGGTACTGGTACCAAAACAGAGATATAGACCAATGGAACAGAACAGAGCCCTCAGAAATAATACCACACATCTACAACCATCTGATCTTTGACAAACCTGACAAAAACAAGCAATGGGGAAAGGATTCCCTATTTAATAAATGGTGCTGGGAAAACTGGCTAGCCATATGTAGAAAGCTGAAACTGGATCCCTTCCTTATACCTTGTACTAAAATTAATTCAAGATGGATTAAATACTTAAATGTTAGGCCTGAAACCATAAAAACCCTAGAAGAAAACCTAGGCAATACCATTCAGGACATAGGCATGGGCGAGGACTTCATGTCTAAAACACCAAAAGCAATGGCAACAAAAGACAAAATTGACAAATGGGATCTAATTAAACTAAAGAGCTTCTGCACAGCAAAAGAAACTACCATCAGAGTGAACAGGCAACCTACAGAATGGGAGAAAATTTTTACAATCTACCCATCTGACAAAGGCCTAATATCCAGAATCTACAAAGAACTTAAACAAATTTACAAGAAAAAAGCAAACAACCCCATCAAAAAGTGGGCAAAGGATATGAACAGACACTTCTCAAAAGAAGACATTTATGCAGGCAACACACACGTGAAAAAATGCTCGTCATCACTGGCCATCAGAGAAATGCAAATCAAAACCACAATGAGATACCATCTCACACCAGTTAGAATGGCAATCATTAAAAAGTCATGAAACAACAGGTGTTGGAGAGGATGTGGAGAAATAGGAACACTTTTACACTGTTGGTGGGACTGTAAACTAGTTCAACCACTGTGGAAGACAGTGTGGCTATTCTGCAAAGATCTAGAACTAGAAATACCATATGACCCAGCAATCCCATTACTGGGTATATACCCAAAGGATTATAAATCATGCTGCTATAAAGACACATGCACACGTATGTTTATTGTGGCACTATTCACAATAGTAAAGACTTGGAACCAACCCAGATGTCCATCAATGATAGATTAGATTAAGAAAATGTGGCACATATACACCATGGAATACTATACAGCCATAAAGAAGGATGAATTCATGTCTTTTGTAGGGACGTGGATGAAGCTGGAAACCATCATTCTCAGCAAACTATCGCAAGGGCAGAAAACCAAACACTGCATGTTCTCACTCATAGGTGGGAATTGAACAATGAGAACACTTGGACACAGGGTGGAGAACATCACACACCGGGGCCTGTTGGGGGGTGGGGGGAGGGGCGAGGGATAGCATTAGGAGATATACCTAATGTAAATGACAAGTTAATGGGTGCAGCACACCAACATGGCACCTGTATACATATGTAACAAACCTGCACATTGTGCACATGCACCCTAGAACTTAAAGTATAATTTTAAAAAAGAATTCCCCCAAAAGCCTAGATCTTAAAAAAAAAAAAAAAATGGGTACATTTTTCCAAAAGTTTGGAAATAAACCAAAGTCATAGCAATAGTTAGGAATGTATTAACATTATTCCAATGGGACCTTTTTTGTATTAGTTCAGTCCAGATTCCTCTAAACTATTATTCCTGTAATAAATGGAATCCAATGTTCTCACTGTAAAAAACAAACAAACAAACAAACAAACAAAAAACCAGGTCTGGCGCTGGGTGCGGTGGCTCACGCCTGTAATCCCAGCACTTTGGGCGGCCAAAGTGGGTGGATTGCTTGAGGTCAGGAGTTTGAGACCAGCCTGGCCAACATGGCAAAAACCCATCTTTACTAAAAATACAAAAAATTAGCCAGGCATGTTGGCGGATGCCTGTAATCCCAGCTACTTGGGAGGCTGAGGCAGGAGAATCGCTTGAACCCAGTAGGCAGATGTTGCAGTGAGCCAAGATCACGCCATTACACTCCAGTCTGGGCGACAAAGTGAGACTCTGTCTCAAAAAATTAAAAAAAAAAAATTAAAAAAAAAAGAGGAAAAGAAAAACAGGACTGGAGGAAACCCCTACGAAGCCCAGTCCTGGCATCATTGCAGGATACCCAGGTAGAGAACACTGATCTCTCTGCATTTCTGGGTGGCAATCTCACAGCCAGAGGCTTTCCTAGGTGGAAGCTGCCTCTTCTTGGCTTTAGTGCATTTTTCTCCTGTTTTTGCTCTAGCGTGTCTTAGGTTATTTTTTCTGCTAACTTCCTGAAAGCTAGATAAAAGAAATTCTCACTTTTGGGCTCGACTGCAGTGATGATTCTTGCAGCTCAGCAGTTACACATTAGACATTAGAGACCAAAAATAAAATAAAATAAAATAAAAAATAAATGCTAGCTGGTAAAGAAGATAAGTCTCAACTTGGTTCTGAAATGAACGGCAACATTTTTCAAAAACACTTTGCCAGAACAGGCCTCCTACTCTATGTGAACCTTTGTAAAAAGTTGTAATTTTTGTTTTTGTGGTTAAACCTGTGAGTTAGTTAAGGGCAAGCTCTGTATCATTTCTGTGTATGTTCCATTGAACCAACCATGTTCTGCTTGTTTAATTCATGTTAAGGGAAGAACTATATCATCCCGAGGCATGTTTTAAAATATCAAGAACATCCAGGTTTTATGATCATCATTCACGTGCAACCCAGGGCTACTTGACTTAAGCTGTCCTGGAACAGGCACTACCTGGGAAGACATTCAGAAAATAGACTTGAATAGACAAAGCAACAAACGAAACCCTTTCCTCTAGGGAGAGAAGCAAAAAGGAGCTGAAGTGTCTAATACCATAAACAAGTGGCTGCCCGGCCAGGCATGGTGGCTCATGCCTGTAATCCCAGCACTTTGGAAGGCCAAGGCGGATGGATCATGAGGTCAGGAGATCAAGAGCATCCCGGCTAACATGGTGAAACCCCGTCTGTACTAAAATACAAAAAATTAGCCAGGTGTGGTGATATGCACCTGCAGTCCCGGCTACTCAGGAGGCTGAGGCAGGGGAATCGCTTGAACCCAGGAGGTGGAGAACGCAGTGAGCCGAGATTGAGCCACTGCACTCCAGCCTGGTGACAGAGCAAGACTCTGTCTCAAAAAACAAACAAACAAACAAACAAAAACAAGTGGCTGCCCACCAGGATGAAGTAATACAGAAAAGGAGAACATGGAAGAAATATTGTGTTGGGGGATAAGAGATGTTGTCCTGAGTCCTGCCCTATCTCTTTTATACTGTTGACCTCACTGAATTTAACAGGTTTTTCAAAGCCTTTAAAAAAATCCATGCTATATATTTTTTAAAACTTCAAGTAAACCATACCAAACTTTGCAAATAGAAAACTCTTTCCCAAAGAGCTTAAATCAGACAAACTTCTAGAAAACCATGTTCTCTCTAAGCTAGACAGAAAAGTGAAGGCCTTATGTGTGCTTTTTTTGTTTGTTTGTTTTTGTTTTTCAGATGGAGTCTCGCTCTGTGGTCTAGGCTGGAGTGCAGTGGCACGATCTCCACTCACTGCAACCTCTGCCTAATGGGTTCAAGCAATTCTCCTGCCTCAGCCTCCCGAGTAGCTGGGACGACAGGTGCACGCCACCATGCCCAGCTAATTTTTGTATTTTTAGTAGAGATGGGGTTTCACCATGTTGGCCAGGCTAGTCTCGAACTCCTGACCTCAGGTGATCTGCCCACTTTGGCCTCCCAAAGTGCTAGGATTACAGGTGTGAGCCACTGTGCCTGGCTCTTATGTACATTTTTTTTTTTTTGAGATGGGGTCACCCAGGCTGGAGTCAAATGGTGTGATCACGGCTCATTGCAGCCTCGACTTCCCAGGCTCAAGCAATCCTCTCATCTCAGTATCCAGCATAGCTAGGACTACAGGCATGCACCACCATGCCCAGCTGATTTTCTTTGTTTATTTTTTGTAGAGATAGGGTCTCACTGTGTTGCCTAGGCTGGTCTTGAATTCCTGGTCTCAAGCCATTCTCCTGCCTCAGCCTCCCAAAGTGCCAGGATTATAGGCATGAGTCACTGTGCCTGGCTGCCTCATGTACTTTGAGTACCTTTATCACATAACTAATTCCCATGTTTTTATATAAAATATTTGTCATCCTTGCTACATTTTTAAAAATAAAAATGTCTAAAATAGCGTACAAGCCCTCAGCTTTAATAATTATCAACGTTTTATCACACATTTCATCTACACTCACTTTTTAAAAGTCAAAATGTTTTAAAACAAATCCAAGTTTTCAAGTTTTTTTTAAATTAAATACTTCATTGGGTAATTAAAAAGAAGATAATACCTTATTACGTAACCATAATGCCATTAACACATCCAACAAAATTAATCATCTGACACTTGATCCTACATAAAAATTCCCCAAATTTCTAAAATAATCTTTTTACCATAGGTTTATGGGAAACATTGTAGAAGGTGATCATGTCTCTAAGTCTCTTTTATATTTTTCTCACTAGAATCAGTAAAATTATCATCTCTCTCCTCCCTTTTTCTTTCCACGCCACTGGGTAGTTGAGGAAATTCGGTGCATTGTCTTGAAGAGTTCACCCCCCTCTGAATTTGGCTGCAAATTCATCTCTTAAGCTTTGAACCCCTTTGCCAGCCAAGATATCCAGAGGAGGCCAGGCATAGTAGCTCATGTCTATAATCCCGGCACTTTGGGAGGCCAAGGTGGGAGGATTACCTGAGCTCTCCCACCAAGGAGTTTGAGACCAGCCTGGACAACATAGTGAGATCCCATCTCTAAAACAAAGATTTCCAGAGGAGCATCCTTTGATCTTGTAGGCACTCTGCACTGCCTTAGTTGGTGAAACTGGATGGCATACACCCTGAGTCTCTACACTTCCCTACTCCTCTGCTGGTTCCACAGTGGAGGAGGGAAACTAACAACTTAGACCCTAAGAGCCTTTTCCCCAGCCAGGTCTCCAACAGATTTCAAAAGAGAAAATGTGGTACCATGGAATAATATGCAGCCATGAAAAGGAGCGAGATCATTGCAGGGAATGGATGGAGCTGGAAGCTGTTATCCTCAGCAAACTAATGAGGAACAGAAAACCAAATACCACATATTCTCACTTATAAATAGAGCTGAATGATGAGACCACATGGACACATGGCGGGGAAAAACACACACTGGGGCCTATCAGAGGGTGGAGGGTGTGAGGAGGGAGAGCATCAGGAAGAGTAGTTAATGGATTCCGGGCTTAATACCTAGATGATGGGATGATCTGTGCAGCAAACCACGGTGACACACATTTACCTATGTAAATGTGCACATCCTGCACATGTACCCTGGAACTTAAAAGTTGGAAAGCAAAAAAAAAAAAAAAAAAGAAAGCTGGAAGACCTGAGTTCTGCTCTCAAGACTCAGCAAAGAGAAAGAGCAGCCTAGGGCTGTGTAGCTCTGATGGGAAAGAACAAAAGTTGATTGTTTAAGAAAACAGACCAGTATTTATGTTCTAAAAGAGGAAGCTCCTATCACAGACAAATATATAGGACTTGCTGAGGCTTAGCTTAGAGGCTTGGCATCACTGGTTGGCAAAGCACCTAGCAACAAGTAGCCTGGGGTGCTCCAAGCCCTGGCTTCTGTCTACCCAGCCCCACTGCTGTCTTGGTATTTACAGACAGAGAGCTCAGGGTCTGCAGATTAGAAGCAATAATAAGGACGGTGTTTGTGTAGCACCTTGTTCCAGGCAGCTTCAAGTGCTTGGCAGGGAGCATCTTGCTCCCGCTGATGTAGCTGTGGGAAGGGATAGATCTGTGGGCTGGGGAGAGGGCTGTTTTCTCCCACACCATCCTGCAGCACTTATGTCTCCTTGTGGCTACATCTTGCACACCTGCTCAAGGTGGTTCCTTTAGCTCCCATTGGGCGACTTCTGGAAGTCCAGTTCCCTTCCCGCAATCCAGAAGAACCTAAACAGGGGTCCCTGGAGTAGATAATGTAACTCCAAGAGAAATTCTTTGACAAAATATCTCGGAGAGCTCAAATGCCACCACGCACATGCTTCAGTTCAAATAAGCAAGCACTGGCAGGGTTGTGGTCATCTATCCATCCCTCTTCTAGCTTTCTTTAGGAAAAGTACTTCGAGCTCACACCTGTAATCCCAGCACTTTGGGAGGCCGAGGCGGGCAGATCTCCTGAAGTCAGGGGTTCGAGACCAGCCTAGGCAACATAGTGAAACCCCGTTTCTACTAAACCCGCATATCTCAAAAAATAGCTGGGTGTGGTGGAGCACACCTGTAATCCCAGCTACTCAGGAGGCTGAGGCAGGAGAACCACTTGAACCTGGGAGGCGGAGGTTTCAGTGAACTGAGATCGTGCCACTGCACTCCAGCCTGGGCGACAGAACAAGACTCTGTCTCAAAAAAAAAAAAAGGTACTTCCAGAATGGATTACAATTTAAATTATTATTTGGTTATTTACACTGGAATTGATAGTGCTTTGAGTTACAAATAAGCAATAAAGAACTAGGAGTAGTTACTTAGTATCTTTTGCCTAGGAGTTTAAAGCATTTCACAGATACTGGTCACAAATAGTAAGTTAATTAGGATGTTTTTCTGCTGCTTTGCAGATGGATAGTATCGGGACAGAGATTAAAGTTGGGAGAGTGCAGAGTAACATTCTGATTTCACTGTAATTTGCACTGTGACCTCAGGCAAGTAATTCTCTTTTCCTGGATCTGATTTCCTCCTTGTGCACAGCATCGTCAGCTGAAAATGGTAGGACCATCCGTCTCCCTCAGTACTTGGAAATGCGGGAGAGGTGGGTTCTAGTTGTTACAATAACTGTGACAGACGTACTGGTGACATACAGTGGGCAGGATCTAGAATGCTGTTTGTCCTGCACAGAAAGGTTTCACAGAAAAGATCTTCCTGCCTGAGCTGCCTATAGCACCTAGGTGACCGCTGACATTGGTAAATGGTCTCTGGCATCCTCCCAGCTTGATAGTCTATGAATATCTGTCTGATTTCACTGTAATTTGAATTATGACTTCAGGCAAGTGATTCTCTGGCACTAAAAGCCCAGTCACAAAGGCATTAAATTCAACATCCAGGTTGTCTGTCCCAGGAAAGATGGGCATGAGAGGGACGTCTCAGAAGCTGGGGCGAACACAGTGAATTAGGATGGAGGGTACCATTTGCAAGTTTTTCACGATACCCAGATTGTGCTTGGGAAAGACCCCACTGTGTCAACCCAGATTTGCAATTAAATTCCACGAAGAATTTAATATTTGTGACACCGT